>NC_000013.11:68862651-69014166 GCF_000001405.40 Homo sapiens
TTCTCATATAATCTTGATAGGTTGTATGTTTACAGAAATATACCCATTTTCTCTATGTTTTCCACTATTTTAATACATAGTTGTTCATAATCTCTGATGATATTTTGTATTTCTGTAGTATTAGTTGCAATGTTGCTTTTTTCATTTCTGATTTTGTTTATTTGGGTCTTTTCCTGGTTAGTCTAGCTAACATTTAATCATTTTTTTTTATCCTTTCAAAGAATCAACTTTTCACTGAACTTGTGTGTTTTTTAATGTCTATTTCATTTAGTTCTGCTTTGATCTTTATTATTTCTTTCCTTTTGCTAATTTCGGCTTTGTCTGGTTCATGCTACTCTAATTCCTTGAGGTGCATTGTTATACTATTTGAAAATTTTCTATTCTTTTGATATACATGTTTATTGCTACAAATTCCCCTCTTAGTACTGCTTTTGTTGAATCCCATAGTTTTCGGTATGTTGTGTTTCCATTTTCGTTTGTGATAATTTTTTTTTATTTTTATATTAATTTATTCATTGACCCAATGGCTGTTCAGGAGCGTGTTATTTCACATCCATGTATTTGTACAGTTTCAAAAGTTCCTCGTCGTGTTGATATCTAGTTATATTCCATTGTGTTCTTAGAAGATAATATAATTTTTTAAAATGTGTTGAAACTGCTTTGAAGAATAACATATGGCCTATCCTGGAGAATGTTCCATGTAGTGATGAGAAGAATGTGTAGTATATTTTGCAGTTATTGGATAAAATGTTCTGTAAATGTCTGTTAGGTCCCTTTGGTCTAAGATCCAGTTTACATTCAATGTTTCTTTTTTGATTTTCTGTCTAGATGATCTGTTTAATGCTGCTAGTGCATTGTTAACGTCCTCCACTATTATTGTATTGCAGTCTGTCTCTCTCTTTAGATCTAGGAATATATGCTTTATTAATCTGGGTGCTCCAGTGTTGGGTGCATACATATTTAGAATTGTTATATCCTTTTGCCAGATTTTTCCTTTTATCATTATATGATGCCCTTCATTGTCCTCTTTTTCTTTTTTTTTTCTTAACTGCTTTTAACTTGGAGTCTGTTTTATCTACTCTAACTAGAGCTAGTCCTGCTAGCTTGCATTTACGTGAAATATCTTTTGTCATTCCTTTATTTTCAGACTTTATATGTCTTTACAGGTGAAGTGCAGTTATTGGGGAGCCTTGCTTGCTGCTCAGTCTCAGGTGTGGTCAACCATGGTTGCTTGCACCTAAGGCCTGGTGGCAGCAGCTGTCACGTCTCTTGTGCCTCAGCGCCAGTGATGTTGGACTCTAGCACAGTGAGCAGTCTGTTGAAGACGGGGCTCTAAAATGGTGCCTTGCTGTAGCTGCTGTGGTCTCAGAGAATGTGTGGGACTCAGTGCTACCTTCCTCATTGGTGCAGTGCCTTCACACAATTTCCTTCTAGCTCTTTATGTTAGTTTCAGGGTCCTCCAAGGGTTAAGGGTCTTTCCTATGGCTAGGATTGCCAGAGTACATGATGCAAACGTAAACCTCTGAGGGTATTTCGCTTACTCTTTCTCCATACTGGGGAGTATCTCTCAGCTCTCAGCCACTGCTGGCCTTGCAAGCTGCCTTGCTTCCTTCTCCTTTGCTTTAATTATTGTCTGTCACTTTTCCATTGAATTTCCATTTTCTCTTGTTTCATCGATTTGAGGTGTGATAATCTATTCATAATTTTGGTGCTTCTAGTGGAGGAGTTGAGTACAAAGTGCTTCTTGTCAGCTATCATAAAGCCCCTTGAAAATTTTTGAAGAAAAATATGTTTTAAGCTTTAATATCTTTTACCATTTCAAGTTTTATTCAAAGATTTTTATCTGCATTACATAGATTCTATGTGTATTAGAAATTGTAAGTTTTAAGATATTGAATATTTATCTAAAAGCACACAAAAGTAAACATAATTTTGAGGTAGCAGTTAATTTTAGTGCTTGATATTTGGCTGGTGCCTTTTATGAATTTATGCAAAATTACTTATAACAAAAATTATATTTTGTCAAGATGACTTACTAGAGATGTTGGATATTAGTTTTTCTCAAAAAGTAGAACCAAAGTTACAGGGGAATAATTATATCTCAAATAGAATGCCAAGGGAAGGGTGGAGCCTAGTAAAGAGCTAATGGGAATAAACAAGGGTACAAAGAAAGAGGGAAGCGTGAAGCTGGCAGAAGTCACATAGGAACCATGAGGGACTTGGTAATTTGTTGAAAGGTTGAGTGGGAATGTTTTTATCTCCTCATCCCTGAGGCAGACTGCCAGTATCTGAAATGACAGAGAGCTCCTCTGCTCTCATAAACCAATCATCACTGGTGTGGGCAGCAACTTGGGTTCTTCTTGAGGGCATTACACCAGACTACCAACATATATCACTCTGGACCTAAGCCGTGGTGGGGGGCATTATACTGGGAAGTACAGCCATCAGGGGACTGTGTCCTAATTAGAGAATCTCTGCCCTTGTGTCTCCACATCACCAAAGCCCCCATAGACCATCTCCACCACCTGCTCAGCTTGCAACAACCACACAAGTCTCCCCGAACACAGAGGATTGCAAGGTTCCCAGTGTTCTAGCCCTTAGGCAGTGTTGCTTCTAAGGGAAGGTGGAGAGCAGCACATCAAGGGAGCAGCTTTTGGGACAAAAGAAATCAGAGCATATAATTTACTGTGCCTGAGAGCTCCCTGCTTAAGGGCTGAGAATGACTGTGACACTTCCAATGGAGATATGGGTGCTTTAGTTGGCTCTGCAAGGGAGAAGTGAAATTCTCTCCCTGTGGCCAACTGACCTCAGTATTTGAGAACAGCCTTGGGGATAGGCATTTCTCCTCCCACCTCCACCCACTGCTGCAGAAACACCTGTGGCTGCTCCAACAGGGGATTGATACAAGCATGCCAGAGGAGGATCATTCTAGGGCTCTTAGGGGCAACAGCATCCCAACTGGGCTAAGGCTTGCATGAAAGGTTTGGCCCTTCCCCTCTCTACACAAAGTAGCAGAATGTCTGTAGTAGAGGGGACCTACTAGCCTGAAGATTGAACTTCATGACCCAATACAAAATCTGCTGACATGAGTACATAGCACTAGAAAAGAAGCTTTCTGACACCCCCTCCATCCCAGCCCAGCAGGAATTTGTGAGCCTGTTCACAAGCCCTGTACATAGCTAGCTACTACAACCAACTTGAGAAAACCATCATAGTAAGGCTATCAATAACCAAGGAACACATATACAGAGAGTCTTTGCCACTGAAAGCACTTAGAACCAAAGGCGAAAAACCCTAGACAGCATACATTGTAGCCATGTTCCAAAAAGGAAATTTAAAAATCCCATCCAAATGAAAGTAAATTCAAATTCAAAAGTAAAAAGAGATCATTTATCCACATGCACACATATGTTTATTGTGGCACTGTTCACAATAGCAAAGACATGGAACCAACTAAATGCCCATCAATGATAATCTGTATAAAGAAAATGTGGCACATATACACCATGGAATACTATGAAGCCATAAAAAAGGATGAGTTCATGTCCTTTGCAGGGACATGAATGAATCTGGAAACCATCATTCTCAGCAAACCAAGACGGGAACAGAAAACCAAACACCACATGTTCTCACTCATAAGTGGGAGTTGAACAATGAGAATACATGGACGTGGGGAGGGGAACATCACACACTGTGGCCTGTCAGGGGGTGGGGGCTAGAGGAGGGAGAGCATTAGGAGAAATACCTAATGTAGATGACAGGTTGATGGGTGCAGCAGACCTCCATGGCACGTGTATACCTATGTAACAAACCTGCACGTTCTGCACATGTATCCCAGAACTTAAAGTATAATAAATAAAAAATATATATAAATTGGCAGAATGGAGAAAAAGTACAAAATCAAACCATATGCAGCTTAAAGACACCACACTGAATTATACATTCAAGGTAAAAGGGAAAATATTCCATGTAAACAGAAACCGACTGCCAACAGGAGTAACTATGCTTACATCAGATAAACGTACTTTAAATCAACAGCAGTATAAAAAAAAACAAAGAAGGTCACTATATAATGATAATGGGATCAATTTAGTAAGAATGCATAACAATCCTAAAGATATACTGAACCAATACTAAAACATCCAGATTCATAAAAACAAAATACTACTAGACCAAAGAAAAGAAATTTACAGCAACACGATAATAGTAGGAGTCTTTAATCCCTTACTCATAGCACTAGTCAGATTATTGAGCTACAAAATTAACAAAACAATTAGATTTTAATTGGACTTAGACCAAATGAACATAATAGATATTTGCATAACGTTCTACTCAGCAACAGCAGAAAATACATTCTTCTCATCAGCAGGTGGAATTTTTTTTTTTTGAGATGGAGTCTAGCTATACCAGACTAAACTATACTATATACTATATACTAGTCTATATACTAGACTATACTATATAGTCTAGCTGTACTAGCTGACCAGTCATAGCACTAGTCAGATTATTGAGCTATAAAATTAACAAAATAATTGGATTTTAATTGGACTTAGACCAAATGAACATAATAGATATTTGCGTAACGTTCTACTCAGCAACAGCAGAAAATACATTCTTCTCATGAGCAGGTGGAATTTTTTTTTTTTTTTTTGAGATGGAGTCTAGCATACCAGGCTGGTATGCCATGGTGTGATCTTAGCTCACTGCAACCTCTGCCTACCAGGTTCAAGGGATTCTCCTGCCTCAGCCTCCTGAGTAAACTGGAGGTGTGCCACCACGCCTGGCTAATTTTTGTATTTTTAGTATAGATGGGGTTTCACCATATTGGCCAGGCTGGTCTCAAACTCTTGACCTCAAGTGATCTGCCCACATCTGCCTCACAAAGTGCTGGGATTACTGGCTGAAACATTCTTTAGACTTGTTCCATGTGCTGATAATAGATCATATGTTGGGCCACAAACATATGGTCTATCTTATTGATAGATATTATGTCATATTTGATCGACCATATGTTACACCGTGAAACAGTCTCAAATTTTTTAAAATAAAAATTATGTCAAGTATCTTCTCAGGTCACAGAGGAATAAAACTATAAATCAATTCACAAAGAAATTCTCAAAACTATACAAATGCATGGAAATTAAACAATTTGCTCTTGAATGATCTTTGAGTTCGTAACAAATTTAAGCTAAAAATTAAAAATAATAAAACAAATGTAAATAGAGATGTAACATGCCAAAATCTCTGGGATGCAACAAATGCAGTGCTAAGAGGAAAATTTATAGCATTAACTGCTGACATCGAAGGAAAGAAAAATCATAAATTCACAACCCAATGTCACATCTGAAGGAACTAGAAAAGGAAAAACAAGCCAAACCCAAAGAGAAGAAGAAGAGAAACAATAAAGATAAGAGCAGAACTAAATGAAGTTGAGGGGACAAAAATCAATACAAAATATTAACAAAATTAAAATTTGGTTGTTTGAAAAGATAAACAAAATTGATAGCCTACATGCTAGATTAACCAAAAATGAAGAATAAAGATTAAAATAAGCATCACCAGAAGTGAAAAAAGAGACATTAAAATCAATACTACAAAAAATACAGAAGACCGTCAGAGACATCTATGAACATCTCTATACTCACAAACTATGCATCCTGGAAGAAATGAATAAAGAAACAAAAAGAAATAGAAATTCTAAACAGATGGTCGTCTAACAAGTAGTGATATTGAATCAATAATAAAAATTATTTTGTCCCCAAAAGCCCAAGATAACATAGATTCACAACCAAATTCCACCAGACATACAGAGAAGAACTGGTACAAATGTATATGTATGTATGTGTAAATGTACATGTATGTATATACATACATATATATACACACACACATGTATGTCTATACATACATATACATTTACACATACATACATACATGTATATGTAAAGTAAGGACTTAAATGACCTTTATAAATTGTTATGTAATATTTTGTTACATTTTTATATTGTTTGTATTTTATAGAGGTTAAAATTACATTTATTTTTATTTTCTTTTGAATATTTTATTAATTCTGACTTCTCAAACATGGATGAATTATTTTGCATTCACAAATTTTAAAGTGGAATGAAGAAAATTCTTGCAATATAATACTTTGAATCATGCTGAAGCTGTACTCCACTTTTCAGAACAGTAATATTACAGATTAACAGTTTGTTACAGAAGGATTCATGAGTATGAAAGAAAATCAGATAAAATACACTTATCCTAAATAGAATGAGTTGGAAGCTAAACTGTAAGTAGATACCAGGATATGATAATGGGGACTTAAAATGAGGACAACTCCACATAGTACTCTGAAAGCTTAACTAGAAGAATACAGGTAAGAAACTCACCTTCAGAAATATTTCTAGAACCCCAATTCCCATATGTCCTAAAAAGATTTGTAAAGTTATGTTGGCAGAATCCAAAGCAAAGAAGCAAGGGGATATAGACAGATAAGAACTTAAGGGAAATAGAAAATGAGAAAGAAAATAAAAGTCTAACACCTGAGACTAGGATAAGGAAACTTAAGAAAGCTAAATCTTTTTATCAACACAACCTACTAGGGAAAAATCAATGAACCCAAGAGAATTATACGTATGTTTTCCTATGTGACTCTCCTTCTAATTCCTACGCTGTTTATTATAGGGGACTTGTAAATTAACTGTCATATTTTTAGCAAAATGTAGTCACCCATTCTGCATCAACAAAATATAATGTACAACTAATCATATAAACACATATGTGTACATTGTATTTGTAAAATAAACGTGTAAAAAACAACAGCGAAATAATTATTTTTAGCTATTCAGGAGAATTGAGAGAATAAGGAACCTTCACAAAAGGGAATATTTTACTATTGCAAATGCCTTTGAACATTATCATCTTAATTATTGAATATGTTAATATAGTAATTCAAGTGGGCACATAACAATTTTGCATCAGAGCATACTCAATATCTTTATTCCTTTAATATGATCACAATCTAATTCGATAAATTGAAACATTTTAGACTCTATGTGTTAAACTACTAAATCTAAATATAATTGTACTCAGACAAAAGAGGAATGGTTTCTAACGGTTGTGAGCAATTAGAATATAACTTCAAAATATACATATGGGAGATGCATAGCACCTTTAAAAATAATATATTTTTGTGCCCACACTTTACAACATGTTCAAATGAAATATGGTACATACAATATAGCAAATTCTAATTCCTAGCTACCGTTATTAATAGATCCAAGTTAATAAGCCTGCATATTTTAATAATTAGAATTACTACAAATATTTTGGATCTCTTCTTTGTGGGCACACAATAAAACTGCACTTTCCTGCACACCGTAATGTTACATGTGGCCATATGACTTGCCTGGACATTGGAGTCTGAGTAGAAGAAACCCATGGCACTTTTGCTTATAAACTTTCGAAGCTTAGTGCATGATTCTCTATATCCACTTTCTCCCTGCTACTGTTTCTGAAAGGACTTGTCAAGATGGATACTCTGTCTGAATCTCTGCCAACCTGAGGTGGATATTTAGCAAGAGCAAAATTAAATGTGTTGGGAAACATAGAGTAGGCTTAAGGAGCGGGTTAGCACTTCAGCATAACAAGTTTATTCTTAATCATACTAATCTAATAAGATATATTATCACTGATGATATAAACCAGCTTTAGCATTATATATCCCAAATGCCACCCCTTGGACTACTATTGTCTGCAAGTCTCTCAGAAACCTCTTTTTGTTCTGAATCACATAATATTCATATTTATTTCTGGGAACGATATTTGTAGTCACTAATCAGATACCCATTGGAAGAATATGTGTCAATAAAAATACAAAAAGTCTTATATAACATTATAGAACTTTATAGTCAGAAAAATTCAGTAAAGCCAGTATATATTTCATATTTTTATTTTCTATCTCTTGAGGTCCATGCCGAGAATATCCCTAATGATTTAAAAGATTGGCCTGAGTCCTAAGTTTTAGATGGTTTAATGAACCGTTGCTTATATATCTTATTATATATCCTATTGGTACAGCATATAGGCTATACCAATTAGTTATATATTACATTTCCTAAAATTTCTTGACTATCTTTTCTGAAAACAATTCTATAATATAATCAATGTAAAGAATCCAATTACTTTTGATGGTCATCAGATCTAAACCTCATCTCATCAGATTCTAAAGGAACACTGGGAAATTTAGGCGCCCTAGGGAACGAATAGTTGTATTCTGCTGTTCTTCAGTTGTTTCTACGGGAGGTGGGAAAAACAAAGAAAAGAGAAACAAGGAAATGGGTCAGGCGCAGTCACTCATGCCTGTAATTCCAGCACTTTGGGAGGCAGAAGCGGGTGGATCACCTGTGCTCAGGAGTTCCAGACCAGCATGGGCAACATGGGAAAACTCCACCTCTACAAAAAAAGAACGGGTGTTCAGCGTTCTTCAAAACTAAGATAGAAAATGAAAGAAAACCTTAGCTACCTGTATGACAGCATAACAATCAACTTTATACTTTAGTGTATTCATACCTAGAAACAGAGAGGCCATTGGTGGAATTAATTTAAACCGTAAAGTGAACATTTGCTTTTCAGGAACTATATACTTTTTTCAATTTGTTAACTGATACATAATAATTTTTATATTTATTGGGTACATGTGACATTTTTATATTTACATGCAAATGTGTAATGATCAAATCAGGGTAATTGGGATAATCAATCCTTCACCTCAAACGTTCATCATTTCTTTCTGTTGGGAACATTCCAAATCTTCTAGCTCTTTTGGCATATATAATAAATTATTTTTAACCATAGTCACTCGACTGTGCTAACTTTCCTTAGAATCTCACAGGATTCTTGTAATTGGAGGTATTTTGAGTGTAAGTGTGCCTACTTGTACCATTCTTTTATTAAATACTGTATTTCTAGTTTCAGCTGTTCTAAAATTTTCCTATTTAAAAGTTTCCTATTACTTATAATAATATAACAAATTTCAGAATTGCCCAATATTCAACTGTAGGCCATCAATGGTAGTTATTCCAATTTATACTCTCCTTCTTCCCAATTAGGCATGCTATTGCAGGTAATGTTACCATACCATGGTACAGGTTAATCTATAGTTATGCTATAATGCTGGTGACTGCTGCCATAGTATGAATGTGGCCCCCATGTTTCAGTTTAAGTCATCTAATTGTGTCTTCTTGTCTTCCAGTATATTTTGCATTAAAATCTATTCCTCTCAAAATATATTGTTTTCTACCGCAGACTATTTAACTTTAACCTTAGCATGCAGTCTTAGAGTCTTAGATAGAGGTTTGGGGAGATAACACTAAGCCTCAAGTCATTCATCCTTTACCACTACCACATTAAAAGATTCAGTTTAATCTCATCTTTTATATAGCTTTGGTTTTTGATATTGTTTTCCATCCATTTTTGCATTATTGGATTTAAATTTTTTCAAGATAGAATAAAGGGAACATATTTAACAGGCTGTTTAAGCTGGTGTGTTACCTGACCCAGGGATTGGTTTTCCTCTATCCAGATAGCAACAATGCACCACTAGGGTTTTTCTCGCTTTTTCTTTTTCTTTTATGGCAACCATATTAATTTTATCTATTTAAATTATCCCATTATTTATTAAATATTATGGTACTACTCAGTTTAGTTTAGTTCTTTCTTATTATCATTATTTTCTGTCAGCCATTCTCCTTCTTTTGAATGACTCTAACATTGCTAATACCAATGAAGAGCACATTTGCATGGTAGCGAATTGGCCCAGATTCCAAAATAGTCTCTTTCCCTCTTAAAAGGAGGGTTGAATAAAGTCCATACAGAGAATGAGTACTATCTGAATCATAGCATCTACCATTGTTTAGATCAGAGGTATATCATTTGTCTTGCCTCATTACTCATCATTGCATATTCGAAACTTATGTTGCTGGTACCTAAACATTTTGTTGCTGTTGTAACAAATTATCCCAGATATAGTGACTTAAAACAATATAGTGTTATTATACTACAGTTCTGGAAGTCAGAAGTCCAATGTTGTTATGGGGCTAATATCAAGGTGTTAGCAAACCTGTATTCCTTCCCGAGACTCTAAGGAAGAAAACATTTCCTTTTCTTTTCCAGTTTCTGAAAAGTGCATGTGTTCCTTGGTTCTTGGCTGCTTTACTCCAAAGATCTCCTATTCTGTTGTCATATTCCTATCTCTCTTTTATATGGACCCTCTTTGACTCTGAATTTCCTGACTCTGACCTTCCTGACTCTCTTTTATATGGACCCTGTGATTATATTGTGTCCTCTTAGATAACTAAGGAAAATTTCTCCAACTCGATAGCCTTATTGTAATTATGTCTTCAAAAGTTACTTTTGCTTTTTAAATTAACATATACATAGATTTAGGCAATTAGGGTGCGGCAACTTTTGGGGGAGGCATTATTTTTCCTGCCATAGTTTCAAATATGCCTCAAATTTTTCTTTGCTCAGTTTTGTTTACTTTGCCTTCTCATATCAGTGGACGTATTATTGCTAAGGGTTGGCACACTCAGAAAATGGTATTTCATAGCCATTACCAACTTTTTACACCCCCTCTTTGCAATCTATTTTATCAATTTTTTGAGATAAAGGTATTTCATTTATATTCCACTGATAAGATTCACCACTGAATATCTGCTGCTTTCAGTTCTTCAAACCAAGGACAGGAGGACCACCATGCCATCATCAAAAATTTTTAACTCTTTTCTATACATATATATTTTTAACTTAAAATTTCTTTAACTAATAGATTTTGGAGACTAACAGTCAACCCCGCTTCTGATACTACCCTGCAATGCTCATGCTTTCAAACAACAATGGTTATAGGTTTGGATTGACAATCTGCTTCATTAGGAAAACCAAAAACAACAACAAAAAACACAAAACAGGTTTCATTCCATATCAGATTGATTTACCTTATGAAAGAGGACATTCCATTTTTCTGAAGGTGAGAGAATCAATACGTAGCTAATGTTTTAAGACTTCTAGTTACAATTTCCAAAGGTTCAGATATCCTAAAGTCAAGGATATGACTTGATGCCACTCATGATGTATGTAAACATGAGAGGTGAGCCTGTTTGAGAAAGTGGTCATTTCAAAAAAGCCATAGAGAATACCCTTCAAAGAATACCCTTAGCTGGTCACATTATTCCCTCAAGGATATAGGACTGGCTAATTACAAAATTCTCAAAGGATTCATAAATAACCCCCTTTTCTGTTCAGTTACATCTCATGAAATCCAGCCATTCATTACTTGTTAAATAATGTTTAACAATGAGATACAAGGGTTTTGTTCAGTACATAACCTAGGCTGAATTCTTATTCATCATTGATCCCATACAGATTCCTAATTGTTCCTTGAGTTAATGTTGTAAGGTGGATTTAATGAAAGATCAAATTCTCTGGTGTGTCTGATGCTAGAGGAAAAGACTACACAACTAGTCATTAACATTGTCTTCTAATGACACTCATCAGGTTTTGAAAATTTGTATCCATTATCTTTTCAAATATTACTTTTCTTTATTATCTATCACTTTACGTTATTGGATTCCAATTACCAGTATTTTGGACTTTTCACTGATTTCCACAATTTATTCTCCTCTCTCAGTCTCTTCTCTTGCATGTCTTGCTTATAATGTTATGGACACTCCTCTCACTGAAAAGTGACACATAGCTTCATCTTGGATTGAATGTTAGTTAATTTGTAATTTCTTAGTCCCCTAGAATATGGCAAAAGGGATATATGTGCCATACAAAGGATATTGCTTCTTTCCTGCTCACTCTAAGAATACAAACCCTTGGAATCCAAGCACCATCCTGTTAGGGAGGGGGCATGGTGAGTTCACAGGTAGGGGCCCAGGTAGAAAGTAAATGAGGCCCTTCATTCCCACTGCAAGCCAGCATTCTTTTGAAGAAATGAGAACCAAATAATTTTAGCCTCCAGGCTTGGAGTCATCCCTCTTAGGCCCCAGGTATCATGGAGCAGGGAAAAACCATCCTCATTATGACCTATTTGAATTCTTAACCTGTGTAATCCAGCACCATAATAACTGTTTGATGATGAGTTCATTTGCTCACAATTTCAAAGTATGTTTTGAAGTAATTCGCTATATAGCCAAAGAAACTACCATAGGGCAAGGTAAGGAAATTAAGGGCTGGCTCCCTCAACTGAGTGAATCTGTCTTTCATTTGAATATGAGAAGTAGTGAATGAGGAATATTTTTGGGAAAGTTTTATATGATTCAGTGGGAATTGGTTCATGTGTTGGGTAAGTCATGAGATCACAAAATTCTCTCTCTTCTAAGTCACAAATATGTGCCATTACCTTGCCGGATGCAATCAAACCAGCTCTGGACAGTATTTGTTTTTCTGGCAGAGGGAGATGTTTTGCTCAAATATTTCAACACTAATATTGTATTAAACTCAGTAGAAATCTTGGTGAAGGTATAAACCTTCATTAAAGAAAGATTTTTAACATATTAATTCCAATATGCTCTGGTATGTTTAAAGGACATGACTGGGAATGCTGAAGGGTCAGAAGAGTGAGGTCAGTTTTTGAGACTCCTGTGGTCTGTGTATATAATGCAAACTCATCACTGTCAATTGTGGGGCTTACCTCTGCTTCCTGTTAGCCACTGTGCCAGTGAAGGAAAAGAAACCCATATTTCCTCTGGTACAATTGGTTGGAAGAGTCAGATGAATATAAATGCCATGTTGAATGAATGCAAGATGAATGAATGATTTTCCCTAGTGATACTTGGAAACTTGAGCCAAAGAACATGTGTTCTTTGTGACTTGCCCCAAGTCATAAAGTTATGCCCCAAGATAGGAAGGACCGTAGATTTTGCTGAGTAGTGATCTCTAAGGATTCTAAGTCATAAAATGTAGAGTATATAAGAAAAGAGCACTTTCTCTCCAAGAATATATAAACGATAACATTAAGTAATTCAAAAATGAATATCTGTGGCTTTTTTCCCCCAAATAAGGTATAAAACAATTACATTAGTATTAACAATTACATTACTATTAACTAATGGTTGCTGTGTTAATCTCTACATGAATACTTTTTCAATAGCTATGTGTATAATACAAATTATTTTGGTTTATATGTATAGTTAAATAAAAATTAAAGTCTACAGAAAACAATCCCTAAGAGAAAAATATTTTGAATAGTTGATGTAAAATTCAAACTAATATAATATACATGGAGACTAATAGAAAGAAAGAAATTTAGCTTTGAGAAAGTTACACACACAGTTAAATGCTTCTATTAACATCTGTAGAAAGTTTCAAGTAATGGTAGGTAAAATTGTGTGACAAATAGTCCAGGTAGTAAAGTACTATGAGTAAGCATTGGGGTTATGGTTATGTTTAATGTGTTCCAGGAGGGAATTCCTAATAGTCTTAACGTATCAAGTATTGAAGATGTTTCCCCAAAGTATTATTTTTTAAAATGTCTGTGTAAACTGTAGCAAGCATTCCAGAGACTAAGATGGAGGTAAATCCAAAGAAAAGGGTTAGAAGATTTTAAGATTTTTATTATAACCTTAGAGATACCTAAAGATTTTTGCATTTTTGGATACTCCATATAACTTTTACTCATAGGGTTACTCAAGATTGACTAAACATGTTTCATTTAAGACAAATGAGAATCTGAACAGAGTGTGAAACCAAGCACCTGTAACTGCTTGTTGAGACTGAGTAATAAATAACCGGGACTGATGAGATGCAGCTTACCTGGAGAATGGAAGCTAATCTCATTGTCCTGAGTAATTATTTTCCTGAGTTGGAAATGTAATTAAGCCAAAGCAATCCCATAATTGATACCTTTCTGGAGCTGAGGTTGTCAACAAACACATAGTGAATACACATGACTGGGACATCAGATGCTATGCATGAAAATCAGGAGATCATTGCTATGCTGTTAGTGAATGTTTTTTGCTGTTTCCTTTCTTCAAATTCAGTAAATGTGGTTTTTTCTTTTTCTTTTTCTTTTTTTTTTTGAGAGGGAGTCTCCCTCTGTCCCCCAGGCTGGAGTGCAGTGGCGTGATCTCGGCTAACTGCAAGCTCTACCGCCAGGGTTCAAGCGATTCTCCCTGCGTCAGCCTCCCGAGCCGCTGGGACTACACGGGCCCGCCACCACACCCAGCTAATTTTTTGTATTTAGTGGAGGCAGGGTTTCACCCTATTAGCCAGGATGGTCTCGATCTCCTGACCTCCTGATCCTCCCCCCTCGGCCTCCCAAAGTGCTGGGATTACAGGTGTGAGCCACCGTGCCCGGCCCATAAATGTGGTTTCAGGTGAAGCTATTGTTTTTACAAACTGCATAGTCAAGCTGAATTCAAGACCACTGCCGCTACTAGAAAAGAATGGGTGAGGGCTGGGCGCGGTGATCACTAGGTCAGGATATCGAGACCATCCTGGCTAACACGTTGAAACGCCGTCTCTACTAAAAATACAAAAAATTAGCCGGGCATGATGGTGGGCGCCTGTAGTCCCAGCTACTCAGGAGGCTGAGGCAGGAGAATGGCGTAAACCTGGGAGGCAGAGCTTGCAGAGAGCCAAGATCGTGTCACTGCACTCCAGCCTGGGTGACAGAGCAAGACTTCGTCACAAAAAAAAAAAAAAAGAAAAGAAAAGAAAAGAAAAGAATGGGTGATACGGAGATCAACCCATAGAATCAAAATTATCTACTAGCCATAAATAACATAGTTACAAAAGTATCAAGGCATATTATAGTAGGACAACTATAAATAAAACAGATAATCTTAAAACTACCTGGAGAAAAATACACACATTAGTGTCATGGTAGCTGTGAGATGACTAACAACTGAGTTTTCAACATAAATAAGCTAGAAGAGGTGGGATAGAATTTTTAGAGTGCTGAAAGAAAATAACTTCCAAACTAAACTTTTAAATTCTGTTAATATGCCATTCAAAATTAAGAGTTCATAAACATTTTATCTGACAAAAGTTTAAACGTCCATTTCAATCAGACTTCTAAGAGAAATACATTAAAAATTTGTTAAGCTAGAATATAATCACAGATGGAAAGATGGAATGACATGAAAAAGGAAGAGCAATAGAATGTTTAGATATAGGGATAAATGAAAATAAATGTTGACTACATATTTACTATACAGTATAAAAATGATAACATATGAAATTTAAAATGTATGTAGTGCTAATGTGATATCAGCAATGTTAAAGGTGAAAGACAAAAGTAGTCAAATTGTCTTAAGCTATCCCAAAAGTGGTAAAGGATATAATTTAAATTACATTGTAAGAAATCAATCATAAATTTAGATACTTCTATGGTAATTACTATCAGAATGGTAAAAGATTATATAAATAATACACTAACAGAGGGGAAATTAGAATAATCAATTAAAACTAAAACAAAAAGGTAGATAAAAAGGACATAAAATAGACATATTACACTAAATAAGTAAGATTGTAGATATAAACAAAAATAAGTCTAAAATTAAAATGAATGAGAGGCTATTACTCCAACAACGTTATTATTCTTGATGTAAAATAGTGTAGTAGTGCTTTCACTAAATCAAAATCCAGGCAATAATTAATTACAAATAAGTTTTGGCAGTTAGCATAAATGAATAATTCTGTCTTTATCTTCTTCCTTCCAGTTACCTTTGCCCATGAAGCCATAAAAATATATAAATCCCAAGAATGACATTTCTTAACGAATTATCAACATTCACAACATTTCTATGAGGTCAGTTTCAATACTTTGCTAATAGAATCACATTTTTATGAGTTTATTTGTAATGCATAACTTTTTACAGTGAAATCATCCTGAAAGGCAAATTATCTGGGTGATCATTTTTGCATTAGAGTAATCTTATATTCCTTTAAATACTAAACACCACCTGTGTATTCCAGGAAGTCTTTTGGACACTGTGTACACAGTGGTACACAAAGCATTTATGTTTTCTTTTGCCAATCTGAAGTTTACAGAGTATTAGAGAAGATAAATATTAAATATGATATTTGAGGATGTGAAAAATGGACAGATTGTTATAAAAGAGAAAAAGAGTAATCAAATTATTAACGGTTGTTCAAAAAGTCCTTTCTGTAGAAATTTCATGTAAGCTAAGACCTAAAGGATGAATTGCATTAGTAAGATAAGATATTAGGTGTGTTTAATGAGGCATAGGATGTGGCATGTTTAAAATGCATCGACACAAATGATCCTGATGTTTTAGAGAACGTAACAACTGAGCAGTCAGGACAAACTGTGCATTATTTATAAACAAATGCCTATAAAAGTAGAGTTTGAAAGAGTAGGAGATGTCTATATTGCATAAATGGTATAAGTAGGGAGACCACAAGAATCATACAAAGCCGAGACAATCTTGAGAACATAATAAATCACCCTGAATAAACATGCTAGGTTCATAAATGTAAACCAAGACTGACAAGATCAAATCACAACCCTATGTAAAATCTATTATTTAAATTTCAATTTTATTAAAGCCGAGTATTTCCCTTTACACTTCATATGTAAGGTTTTGAGGTTGACTACAAATATCTAAAGTAATGTGAAGAAAATTGACACTATACCAGAAACAAGAGGATAAAAACCAAAAACAATGAATTGGTAGCAGGAATGTTTAAAAAGCAGACAATCACACTCATTTAATGTGGGTAAGGCATGCCAGTGGCTTAAAAATTACTACGATGAGCAGTTGCAAAACTCAAATGCAAAATAAAGAAATTATGATTACTTATAATTCTATATTCACTGAACTACCTTTCTTACCTCAGCCCCCTTATGTCTTTGATTTTTATATTTTCTTGATATTTTTTAAAAAATAAATCCATGCATTAGATTGAGAATGAGGAAGACTGAGCAAATGTGAAAATCTGTTAATCTATGAATATAAATACCCCCCCCAAAAATATGGTGACAGTATTGTTGAATGTCTTGAAAATAATAAATCTGGTTATATTGAAAAGAGAAATAACTAAATTCCTACAAAATTTTAACATTTGTGGAAATTCCCACAAAATGCTTCATATAATTATGGAGTATAAGCTCTGCAATGTGTCAGATATACAGAAAATAATCAGAAAATTAGTAAAACAAAATTCCAATTTAAGTGTTCAAAGTTTATATACTAAATGGTTGGTGTTACTTTTAAGCAAGTACACAGTATTTGACATTCAAATATTAATAGTATGAGTCTGTCAGAGAGAATTTGCCTCAGGAAACAGAAACCACCCTATGTAATTTAAGAAGAAAATTGCTACAGATAACTAAATGCTTAGAAAACTGTTGGAAAGGCTGACGAGTAGGTTCTCACTAAGCCTAATAGAATGATTATAAGAACAATATAGAACAGACCTACCAGGGAAGCCACTATCTCTGAAGTCACTAATGAAACAATGAGTTCAAGAATACTTGACTTCTTGTTCTCCTTTTCCTGGTGACAGAAAGCTGTGATGTAGGAATCAGAAAACTGAGATGATGAAACTTCACTGCTGAAGTCAACAGGCCTTCACCTTCACATCTTATGGGCTAAAGAATAAACAATGAATTCATGTTCTGAAAATATCTGGGTCTGGGCTTCCCTTCTGAAAAGATGTTTATGTACTTATTAAATTGATTTATTTATTATATGACTATTCAGACAAATTCCACTTGGTCATGGACATTATAAAACTTTTTATATATTGCTGGATTTCATTTACCAATATTTGTTATGCCTTTTTGGGTTGATGTTCCTGAAGGATATTTGTGTGGTGTGTTCTTCTTATCTTGTAATGTCAATATCATATTTTTGTATTTGGGTAATTCTGCCTTCCTATAGCAAGTTGTTGAGGCTCTCATTCTCTTCTATTTTCTGAAAGTATGTATGTATATTAAGGTGATGTTATTTATGAAGGAAAAGTGTGATAGAATTCTTCCAGGAACATCATCTGTGCCTGAAGATTTATTTGTGGGAACTTTTTTTAGTAGAAATTTATTTTTTTATTATAAAGAATGTTATTTATATTTTCCATCTTTCTTCTGTGTTAGTAAGAGAAGTTATTTTAGAATTTTTTCCATTTAATCTAAGTTGTCATTTTTTACATATAGTTCATGTTGTAAGAACTATACTATTGTTGATTTGCTTTTTCTCCTTTATTTTCCTAATCGACATTGCTTTGGATTGATTTATCAATTGTATTAATCTTTCTGAAGAACAAAATTTTGGCTTTTTTAACGTTCTGAAATGTTCATCTATATATGATTGTTATTTTGTTTTTATTGTTTATTTTCTTTTACTTTCTAAATAATTTTATACAGTTTGTATTTCTAATATAGGTATTTAAGGCCATACATTTTCATCAAAACACTGCATTATTTTCATCTCACATATTTTGATATGCTGTAGCTTTATTAATATTGTTTGAAATATTCTACAACTTTTTATTTTAATTTATTTTTTGACATGAGTTATTTAGAAATGTTATACTTCATTCTCAAACATTTGGTAATTTTGTAGGTACATACTTTTTGATTTCTAATTTAATGCAATTTTAGTGAGAAAACTCAGTTAGTATATTTGAAATCCTTGACATTTATCATGAGTGTTTATTAGACAAGAATTTGTGTTTTAACTTGAACATTTAACTTGGTAAATGTTCCTGCTGCACTCAAAATAACATATATTCTTGAGTTGTTTATTTAATAGATATCAAATATTAAATTTTGTTAAGCATATTGTCCAAATATTTAACATCCTTAGTGATTTTCTGTTTATCATTCTATCAATTACTAAGAAAGGAGTGTTCAAACATTGGCAGGGTTTATATGGGATTTATATGCTATTCTTTCAATGTTTATGTATGTTAACAATTTTTGTAATAAAATGTTTGAGTAAAAAGGAACGTTTCATTTCCTAAAATATCTAAATATGTTAATTTATAAGTTCATTGATTTCCACACTTCTTAAAATAGCAAAACTTTGAAAAATAAAGAAACAAAAATCACCAGTACATAACAAGTAAAGATAGAGCTGAAAAACACAAGATAAAGCAATGTCATGGTGGTGCCTGGGAGATTTTCAATTCATTAGTGGTAGATCAACAAATGATTGACTTGTGGTGCAATTTCCCAGAGCCTTTCTTGTAACACTATATGATTAAAAAAAAACTATATAATGATGAAAACTGTCCATATGCTACCAAATATGGTAGTCATCAGCTACATGTGGCTGTTGTAATGTGGCTAGTTTGACATCAGAACTAAATTTTTAATTTAATTTGATTTAATTAACTGATGTTTAAACTGAAATAGCTATTTGTATCTAATGGCTATCATATGTGTCTACTAGCTATCATATTTGACATTAGAGCTTATAGAGCTTTTATAGCATACTCTTTGCAATCACTGCACAAAATTATAGAGGTAATTTGAGTATTTTATTAGCCAGTTGTTATTTTATTGTATTTAATTAATGAATATTGTGATTACAAAACTGTGATCCAAATCATTATTATTTCTAAATTTTAGTTATTCTACATAGAATAGCTGAAGTTAAAACTTACATTATTTTTACTAAAAAACATATTATTATTACCTAATATAACAATGAGAAACTGTTTATTCTAAATATCTGAAGTTCTCATACAGGCTTTCATATTATTTTATGATGATTATCAAATAAAACCTGTGTATTTAATTTACATAATTTAATTTGTGATTTTCAAAAGGAAGTGTGTAGGTGGGAGATCCTATGAGCTTCTGTTACTAATACATCCCTTGAATATCATTAACTGAGATTTATTTTCTGTTAATGTCTTCAGAGTTTGGAAGAAGCTAGGTATAGTGTTGCAATAGATTTTCATCTAAAATGTAATAAATACTTTTATCCTATATGTAATACAATGCAAAGAGCAAAAATGGCAAAATCATATAATGTACTTTAACCTTTTCTGCCTAACTTCCTGAGTGTCATAAATGCTTATATTTAAAACATTTTTATAATCAAAATTTATTGGAGTATAGCATTATAGTATTTTTAAATGGTCAATTAATTTTTTTCTGCATATATTCTTTCTTATATTTAACCTTGTTTTGCGTCTCTTACACATTGTTATTTCAAAATGCTATTCTTTCTTTGAAAAGGGAGTATTTATTAATATGAACAAGGGCTTTGTCAATTATTATATATAAAAAAGAATGGATTTCTTAGAAATAAACTGTAGACTTCAGGACTCTTCATTGCATGAACAATTTCTTTGCTTTATTTATATTATATTCTCTGTATACAGAATTTTGTATTTGAAATTTTACATTCTTTCACTTAAACAGTTTACACAGATTTTATAGTCTCCAGTCTCATAAAACCCTAGTACATAAACTAAAGAATAATTAATAGCTCATCTTTTTAATTATTAAGAATATATTTCTGAAATATCCACTATCTATTTTTATCATCAGGTTCAAAGACATGAAATGAGTACATTTAATTTAAAGAAAATTCACACCCATTTTGTTTAATTATAGAGAATGATTTCTAGAGATAAAAGTCTAAGTGTGTAAGTAAGTTTGTTACTTTCCTAAACCCTTTCTTTTCCTCATTCTGTTGTTTTTCTTCTGGTGAAAATTATAGGCTAACATAAAAACAATTTGACACCTGTTAGCGAGAACGAGAACACTGTCAAGGTGAAAATAATTTTCTCATTTTTTTCTTAGAAGATAATCAAAGCTTAGGAGAATCATATATTCATAGTTCTATAGAAAGAAAGAAATTTCAGATATAAATCACTAAACACTAAAAATAAAAATATTACCTTCCCCAAATGAGGCACAATTATTATCAAATTTAAAATAAAAAAATTAAATAATATTAAACACCCCAGTGATTTTGTAAATATGGTATTCTTTTGGTGTTGAAAATCATATGGCTATATATTTTTTCTTATGTGATTATGTTTTCACACACACGTTAATAAATGTAAGTATACATATGCATTTAGTTTATACAGAAAATTAAATCAATATTCTCTATTTATATTATTAGCAATGATTAAAAAAAAGAAAGTAGACTAGCTGGGAAAGTAGACTAGTAAGTAAGAAGATAAAAAAGGAAGATAGATTCTGCCAAATCATTTTTATAGAGTCATGAATAAAATTCACGTAATTATGAAAATGTATCTGCAGTTTATTCAAATAAAATCAGCTAAATGGGAGAAGCTCTTCTTATTTTGTAAATGTACTGAGGCAACAGGAGTTTACCGTTATGTATTTTCAGTTGTTGGAAGTAGATGTACACTGGTCATTATGACTTTTATCTCAGAAACGTTTTAGTCTAATGTTACTGAAACCCAGGAAATGTTGTACATTTTGGGCCTTTCAACTATTGTACTGATGAAAGCAGCTCACTCACATTAGCATTTTTAATTTGACAGGGATTACAAAAACACTGGGTGCTCTTTAACTTTTGTCACAGCCATCTATTACATTAAGAACAAGTTGATTTTAATATTTGTCAAATTAAAGAGCATTGTATCAAGCTAACCTTGGGTGTTCATTTACATAATTGGCTCTCTGCTTGCTGTGTATTATGTGACACCCTCATTTGATTACTGTTCATTTTTCTGAAATTCCGAAGCAGCATCTAACATAACCTGCATATTAATATTTCATTTTCATCAGGCCTTACTTTATGCAGTCAAGTTACAGCAAATGCTACCTTTTCATTAGTAAGCTTGTTATAAGTCTCTTGTTTCAGAGCTTTTAAAAAACAAAGTTCGATTCACATGTTTAACCTGTTCCATAATAGAAAAACATAACTGGACTCTAACTGTTTGTTTAAGTAAATAAAGGATCCTCCTGCTGGGTTGGCCTTGAGAAAAATCTCTGAACTTGAGCAAGAAAAATGTAGTGCTTATTGGCCCCTATATCAGTCAACATTTTGTAATATAAATAAAATAAAAATAAAATAAAATCTTAGTGACTTACAATAACAAACTTTTTTTTTTTTTTTGAGACAGTGTCTTACACTGTCACCCAGGCTGGAGTGCAGTGGTGCGATCTCGGCTCACTGCAACCTCTGCCTCCCAGGTTCAAGTGATTCTCCTGTCTCAGCCTCTGGAGTAGCTGGGATTACAGGCGACCACCACCACGCCCAGCTAATTTTTTGTATTTTTAGTAAAGATGGGGTTTCACCATGTTGGCCAGACTGGTCTCGAATTCCTGACTTCGTGATCTGCCCACCTCGGCCTCCCAAACTGCTGGAAATATAGGCGTGAGCCACCCCACCTGGCTGAATAACAAACTCTTAATTCTTTTTCTTAAATCTGCAGGTTGGCTGTGGCTTTCCACTGGGCTATGGATTTACAGTGAATACTTATAATATTATGTTGCCTGGGCATCTATTTTGAGTATCAGATTGTCTTGTACCAGGAGCAGAACACAGACATCACTCACCAAATTTCCAGTTCTCAGCTCTCTCCCAGTTACTGAATGTGGTGAGTCCAGATATCTGCCCTCAATAAGGACTTCTTTGTGACCTCCCTATGGGACATACAGACAGAGTCTTCTGGACTAGGCCCATTGATCACCACCGCGCTCCCCCCACCCCACCCCCTGCATGGACTGAAGACCATTGCTCAGTCACAGCAGTGTGACACTGGCAGACAGCCTATTGTCCACGTATCCAACATGATTCCCACACTGCTGTAACTGAACAATGGTCTCCAGTCCACGCAGGGAGCGGGAGAAGGGGCGGTGATCAATAGGCCTAGTGAATCCCATGTTGGACACTTGAGGAATAGGCTTTCTGCCAGGGTAAAGGAGTACACTGTGAAAGGCACACTGTAACATCCACAACCAAATCCTCTGAAGTCCTGTCAGGGCAGGCCGAGCGTTCATACACACTGTCAAGAGAGAGACCTCAAGCACAAATTACAGAGAAAGAAAACAATCTGGCTTAAATCTGCTCCATCTGTCTCTCTTTTTAGGCTCCAGACTATAAAGCGGTGAGTGAGTATTTGGGCACTGTGATGATTAATTTTATATGTCAATTTCCATGCGCCATGGGGTGTCCCCCAAATAAGACATGTATAGGTGTGCCTGTGAAGGTGATTCCTGATGAAATTAGCGTTTGAATTCGTGGACTCAAGGAACTTCACTCTCCCCAGGGGAGGGGTGGGGATCATCCAGCCCATTGAGAGCCTCAATAGAACAAAAAGGTGAAGGAAGGATAAATTTGCTATTTTTGTCTTCTGCCTGTTTGCCTCATAAGGACATAGGTTTTCACCTGCTTTTAGTCTGGGATTTACACTTTTGCCTACCATGGTTCTCAGGCCTTCCTGCTTGTACTAAATTGAACCACACTGACTTTCCTGGGAGTCCCAATTGCAGATGACAGATTGTGGGACTTAGCCTCCATAACTGCATGATTAAATTATTCAAAATAAATATTTTTTGGTTCTCTTTCTCTGGAGAACCTCAACTAATATAGATATGTTCCTTTTGTGGTGAAGGACAGGGTACTGAAAGCGTAATCCAAAACATCTTAAGCACATTTGAAGCCTCTACTCAGATATTAATTAAGTCAAAGCAGCTAACATCCATTGCCAAAGTACTCATGGTCAAGGATGAAATGCAGACTTTTCATTGACAAGAAAAGGGAGACTGAATATTTATTGAAAAATAATATAACTTGTCCCAATCCTTCAAGGAAATGTTTCAATTTGCTAGGCAATTCACACCTGCAAACTCACTTGATCCTCAAAGCAACACTGATAGACAGATTTTTGTTTGTTCATTTATTTTTCTTATACAGGTTATGAAAGTAAGTAAAGCACACCAACAAGAGTGAACATTTATAAGACTGAATTGTTTACTGAGCAAAGGTTGGAATGTAGACCTATTTAATCCAAAAGCCTTTTAGGATTATAGCCTAGAATGGCTTTCTTCCATCTACCCCACTCATTACATTACTATCTCTCATTATATAAGCTCAATTTTTAAAAATTGAAACACTGCTATAGACAAAGTATTATTTTTTTGTGTTTCTGCCTTTCTTCCTGCAATTCAAGCCACAATTTTCTCTACAATGCATATTTACTTGTTCTGAATGAAGTATTTCTAAGAAAATATCTAGTTACTTTAGTTCTAGGAGAATTCATAGTAATAACATTTTTGCTCTCAAATAATGTCTCTACGAAGCCAAAGTGGGATGGAGATGTGAGAAAAGAAGATAAACTTATAGCAAGTCTATATGAAAAATGTGGAATAAAATGACTCCCTACAACATTCAAATGTCAAGATTGTCTATAAATTTCTATGTCTTGTTAATTACCAAATCCCAAGATCAGCACCAAAGCATTGTGATGCTTTGTAAATATCTGAAATTAACACATACCAGGGAAAACTCTTTCCTCTGAGAGAACAGCTGAGGAAATCAGGTTGACAAGACGCTGAAGGCAAGAGAATACCTAATTCTACAAAGCTGCTAAAAAATAAATACTTCAGTTTTGTATATGTATTGAATTTTCAGTGTCCAATCTAAACTCTTATTTTTAAAAAACATTGATTATAGTGACAAATAATATTCTGTAGACATTTGAAAAATAAAAACATATCCATCTGAACTTGGGTATACATACCACCACCACTTTAGTATGCATTCACACACATTATTTCCATGAACATTTTCCCTTTTTCTTCACATTATCTCTCCCCAATAATCTCAGGATAGAAGGCTGATGTAGCAAACAGTACTAGATATGCCCATATAAATTTAATAAAGAAGATCTATAAATTTATGTCTCATTGATTTGAATTATAGGCTTGTTGTTTTTAATAGATTACTACATTCATAAATATAAACACTTGGTAATTTTCTTCATAGTGTTTTTTGTGCTTTAGATGATACATTGTGGTTCATCACAAAATGCAACTGTTTTAAATGGGATAAATTATTTGTTGTATGTAAAAGAAGCTGATTCCGCCAGATAAAGCAGAAAAGGAGCCAAGAGTTCAGAATAGCAAGAAATGCTAGGTTTGAGCCTAGGCTTCCCCAACTGCTCTAAAAAAAATAGCTCTGGTTTGGATAGAAAAGAACTGCTGCTTCTAAGAAACTCTAGATGACACTCTCTGCCACTCAAAAGTCTGTAGTCAACTCCAACCTACAGGTCGTTACTACTGTCCCTGAAACAATTATCTTCTTTTTTTGATTAGTAACTCTTAATTCAATAAAAGAAGCTATGCATATATTTCTGGTACAAGGGAGGCAGAGTTAGTGATCACCACCATTTCTAGCTCTTCTGGCAGGGGGCGGGGGGTGTCAGCCAAGCAGCACTCGTAAAGATGGTAGTTCCACAACATAATCGTTAAATAAATGACAAATTTTTGTTACATCATAGTAGGTCTAGCCAGTCATCATTGATCAGTAATTTTTAAAGATTTTTTTCACCTGTATGAGTTAAAAAATAAAAAGGTTCATTCAGTTTGATTAAGCACAAATATTTTGTCTGCAATGTGTATAGATGTTACCCATTAAGATAATTTGTTAGCATTCAAGCTATTTAAAAAATGAATAAAACCCATGGAAAATTATTCCATTGGTTGTAATTAAACATGGTGCATATAGGTAGACTAAAATAAGTTTTCTACATATGTGTAGAAAGGTTTTTTGTGTTCTTGGAAAAGATATAGCACACACGTGGCTACAGTGAAAGTTTAACTTACAAGTGCTGAATTTACATACTGAAGGCCCAAATATCTACATGGAAGCGGCAAATAAAATACTATATTACTTGAAATAAAACTCAAGCTATTGGCAAAATAATGTAATGGTAGAATCTGAAATTTAGTGACAAAATCAATTGTAATAAAATTCAAAATTGTCAGCATTTGCAGAACTATAGTGGTAAACATAATTGTATTTTTCCTTATATAAAGTTTTGGTGCTGCAAAAGAAATAGCACTTGAATATAAAATTTTCTTTTTAATTCTCAGGAAGGCAAGGTACTTCTATGGAAGGGTGTGCTCTCACAGATGGAGCAATGGTGAGTGCACACTTGGACAAGGGAGGGGGAGGGGTTCTTATCTGCAACACATGTGGCCCCTGCTGCTGTGTCATTCCCCTATTGGCTAGGGTAAAACCCCACAGGCTAAACTCTAATTCTGTTTGGCTAATTTAAAAAGAGTGACTGGGGTGGGTGCTTTGGTGGGGAAAAAATAATTGGTTATGCAGGGTGGAGAATGAGTCAGGGTGGAGCAGGTAGCAGGTAATCTGAATGAGTCAGGGTGGAGCAGGTGATCCGAATGAGTCAGGGTGGAGCAGGTGATCAGAATGAGTCAGGGTGGAGCAGGTGATCAGAAAGATTCAGGGTGGAGTAGGTAATCAGAATGAGTCAGGGTGGAGTAGGTAATCGAAAAAGGTTGCTTTGCGAGGGAGTTAAGTTTAAAAGTAGACGGCAAAGAATTGAACACACTGACATATTGATTCTTTGAAGAGAAATTCAGAACTTACATCTAACAATCCCTCCTCTTGCATTTTCCTACAGATTTTTCTCTTCAAACTTTTTAAACATGTCTTGGCTTAGTTCTTCTGCTTGATTTTCCAAAAGAACAAGCTTCTTTGGATAAGGTGAAGGATAGTTAAGGGAGGTTTTAGTAAGTGCCATTCCTATGAGCCTCTGTACCAACCCATGGATGCATGATGTGACATAGCACCTGATAAGAATAAGTACACCCATTACGACTGCAAGGGAAGTAAGAATTGAGGCTATTATTCTTTTCCGTTTACCGAACCACTTTTCTAGCCATTCTGTAAAAGGGATCATTTACCCCTGAGTTGTTGGCTAACTCATTGGACAGAGCAGCTAGACCTTGCAATGCCTTTGTTATACTTCCATTAGGGGCGGTGTTGTTTGGGATGAGGGTGCAACATTGAGTTTTAATCATGATGCAAACTCCTCCTCTTTCTGCTAATATCATGTTTAAGGCTGTCCTATTTTCCCAAGCCCTCTGGCTAGTAGCCCTAATTGTTCAGCTATTCCTTTAACAGCATCTCCAGTGTAGTTAATAAATCACTGTTGGTTGTAGTAGATGTGGTTTATTCCATCTATATTTTTATTAATTTTCACCTACCAAAATATTGACTCAAATCCTGCAGCTATTTGATTTTGGGCTTTAAATTGATATGGTATTCCCCGTGGGACTCCAATTGCGTCTAAATAGAGATGAGAGTCGAAAGACCCATAAGGGGCTTCTCTCACTTTATGATGTCTTATTTTTCCTTCCTCTGGTTGATGAAATGCCAGGGTGAGAGGCAAGGGATAGCCAATTGGACTAAAACACAAGTGCCACGCCAGTTATTTGGCAGAGTGTCCAGTAAAGGTCCACCACAATACCACCACACATCCACTCAGGGATGAACAAGGGCTGACTGATTGATAAGATCTAGAAAATTCTTAAGCTCACTGCATCCCTTCAGGTCTCCAAGGAATGCTAAGTTTCCTCCCTGTCATGAGAGAGATACGAAGTGAACTTAGTGTCGGGAGACAGAAGCTGGATGGCCCTCAGGGGCTGACCCGCAGGGTGCCGGACTTCAAGATATAGCAGACAGAGAGTGTGGCACGACTTGTTACCCCAGGCTGTAGAATCCTGGAAAACAGTTACCATGCAATCCACCCCCAATCGACTGGAGGACAACCCTAGTGGAAAGGGGACTATCTGGGCCTCTGGCCTGCCATGCGCACAAGCATAACAATTGCTTTTGTTTAACATGCAGATGGAATATTTGATCCATTCCAACCAGGCGCTTGCATCTTGGTGTCCTGTCTTAATTGCCAAAGGTTTGTTTTAAGTCTTTAACTTCTAAGATATTTATCTTGGTCTTGTCGTTAGATGGATGAGGAGCAATTGTTTCATTGTGAGAGGTTTTGGAAGAAGGCATAGAGGAAGTTGCAGCTGGTGGGGGAATCAAAGAAATGCATTTCAAAGCATCTAATAGGGTTTGTCCCTGAAACCTCAGCCCCTACACCATAAAGCTGGCTTAAAGAAGGGAACTGCCTTAGAAAAGGGGAAGAACTTCGAGGGTTTGAGATAATAACCTGTGTAGAATTACACTGGTTTAGCTGACAGTTAGTGGGGATGGCTGTCCCTTTAGTAAAATGAATGAATGGTTTTAGGAAATTACAAAAACTGGTTGGGGAAGTCCATTCTTGCCCTTTAGTGGTCCACAGAACGTTGGACCAATTACAGCATAAAAGCTCTACTTCGGGGGTGCCAAGACTCCTGGCTGACACTGGGGTCTTTATCGAAATCTCCCTGGTTAAATGGTCCCAATTCACTAATGCCCAGTCTGAGGAGAGTCAGGAGGGACAGAGGGGCTTTTCTGAAGTAGAGAGCTGTCTTTGACTTGGCAAGTCCCTACAGGGTGTAACAAGGCAACCATTAAATGCAATAGTTTGAGGCAAAATTGACTTGGTTATGTTAATAACTAGGTGGTCAGCAATAGAGCAAGGAAAGAAGAAAGTAATAGAATCGGTGAAAGAGTTAAATTTTTCTTAGCTTTAGTTTGGTAGGATTTTCCCCTGGGACTATGACCCACGACTCTGGAGGGGGTGGCACTTTCTTGACTTGGGTGTGATGAGTCCCTCCCCTTCCCCTGTATAAACAGCAGTCTCAGTGGTTAGCAGCACAAGGTAGGGTCCTTCTCAGGCTGGCTCGAGTTTTCCTTCTTTTCACCCTTTGATGAGAACATGATCCTTAGGCTGGTGCTGGTTTACCAGAAAATCAAGTGGTAGTACCTGTGCTAAAAGACTTTTAGTTTTGAGGGAAAGGAAAGTGGAGGATAAACCAAGTATATGATTTCTAAGAAATTGACCTTTTGTTTTAAATGTGGGGACATCAGCAGTGAACTTTATAGTCCTTGGTGCCTTCTTACTGAGAAATTTCCTTTAGAACCTATTATTATTAGTTTTTAGACCAAAGAAAGCCAAACACCATTTTATATTTGACAATGCTTCTTGTATGATTTTTATACGAAATAAGCTAAATTTCACCTTTATATTAGTGGGTCATTAATGTTAAACTTAATTTTAATAAAACCTTGTAGATATATTTATCCAATTTTTAATGTCTGACCATAAGGTAAGATTTTTATAGACTTTTTTTAACCTTTTATAATTTTCATTAAAGAGAAGATTAGTGCTTTAAGAAAAATCTGTTGTGCTTTTAACGTTCAGTTCGCAGAAAAACTGGATGATACCCCTTTAAATGTAGCCAATATGTTTACACACAGAATTTCCTTCACAATTAACGTTTTAAAACTTGCTTAAAACTTTAAAACAAAATATATATTTTAACCTTTTAATGTATGTAAAAATCCACATATGCCTCCTTATAATCCTTTTACCAAAACTATATTTTACTTTCCTTACACATCTTGCACATAAACTGTTTCTTCAATAGTTTTACCTTCAGGATGCCTAATTACTTTTAAATTATACAACATTTCTTGCATAAATTTCCTTTTATAACTTTTTTTTCACGACTTTCACAGACAATTCTTCGACATGCCTCAACTTTCTGACTTGTTGCAAACGTCCCTTTTTTAAAACAACGAGTTAATTTATTTTAGGACAAGAATTTACCATATAACATCCCTTTTTATCTAAATTCTGCCCCCCCCTTTTTTTTCCAAGATAATTACCATTCTTTTCCAAACTGAACTTCCTTCATGTCTGTGGACTAGACTGTCTAAGGCCACGAGATTAGAAGTTAGGATAATACGTGTTACACTGTTAACTTTTAGCAAACTTTAGTTTTGTTGAAAACCTTGTAAGTTTTGGATTTCAATTTTTCTTTACTACTAATAAGACCTTGTTTAGTCCAAATTAACTTAGAATTGGTATAGATGGTTTCTTCCTGGTTCTGTAAGTACTTTAAAGCTTGGCTGAGTGAACATAGCTCGCACGTTTGAGCAGACCAGTTATCAGGCAATTTTCCTAACTCTGCTTCTTCAAGAGTTTCCTTATCACTTACTGAATACCCATTGTGTCTTTTTCCCCTCAATCACCCGGGAGGAACCATCTATTGTCCTATCCTGAAGGGAGTTCCTCCTAGGTCTGGTCCAACCTTTGTATAGTAATTAAGATTTAGATCCCCTGTTAGGAAACCTGCTGGGTTAAGGGAATTTTTATTGGTTAATGTTGAATCATTTTTTTTTTTAACAGAATAGCCTCATACTTTCTTCTGTTAGCAAAGCAGTTGTTGCTACAGATTGAATGTACTTGGGTCATCTGCAGGTTACTGGGTTAAGGATTTTTGATAGTAAGGGTACAGGTTGTCAGTGGCCTAAGAGCTTTGGGGCTACACCCTTGTTTACACTGACAACAAGGTGGTATTGGAGTGTTATAGGGTCACAGACAAGACCTTCAATTATCAATTATAGGTTTAAAATTTACCCTGGCTTTTAAAGGAATAGGGTACACTTTTTTTTCTTTACTACTTCTCTCTTTCTCTTTCTTTCTCTGACTTCATGTCTCTCTGTCTTGTTGACTTCCTCTTTTCTGTCTCTTCCTCTCTCTCTTTCCTTTCTCCCTCTTTACCCTCTCTCTTTTTCCTTTCTCTCTCTCTCTTCTGTCTGTCTCTCTCTCTCTCTTTTTCCTTTCTGCTTGTCTTTCCCTGCCTCTGTCAGTCTCATTACACTGTTCTCCCCTCTCCTTCCCCTTTTACCCTGGAAACTAAAAATTCCTCTGAGGAGGAGAAACATTAGATGAGGGGAAACAAACAGAGTGAGCAGCCCCTGAATTGACTAAAAAGGTGATAAGCTCATGTTTTCTTTTTTTAAGGCTGACTGTTGGGGTGATCAGACTCAACACTAGGTCGTGGGGGCAACGAAGTCTGGTGGAGTCAAAGAATTGAGAAAAGACAGAGAGAGAGAAGTGAGGCCAGGGGACCATCATGATTGTGGAGGCTGCAAAGGCCCTGAGCTCTAGGAGCCCACGCTATTTATTGGTAATCCAACAAAGAAACAGGTGGTGAGAATGTGGAGGTCAAAAGGGTGCATTGCATTAAGCACATGATTTACAGCTGTGATGGTTTAGCATTTGCTCTTCTACTTGAGATAATGGAAAGCAGGTTCTTTTAACTCAAGATACAATCGATCCTGGAGAGCAAGGAGCAAGGAGCCAGCAAGTCTAGTCACATTCCAGAACCATGAGCCCTGGATTCTATCCAAGCTATGAGGGATTTTATGCCCTGGGCTTAGATTATGGTGTGTCAGGGTAGCCTTCCACCCTTTAGCACAGAGCTTGATGTTCCAAAGACCACAAGGGGTTTTAGACCTGGGACCCCGGACATATTCCAAGACTCTTTTACATTATGTCAGACATGCAAGTCCTGCCTCAGCTTCTCCCAACACTCAGCTTTTTCCCAACAGCTGACTAGTATTCAATTGTGTAAATATACTACATTTTAAAAAATTTATTTATCTGTTGATGGAGGCATAGTTTGCTTCCAAATTTTGGCTATTGTGAGTAATGCTGCATTGAACATGAGATTATAGATGTCTCTTTGACATATTTATTTCAATTTTTTGGATAAATACTCAGAAGTCAAATTTCTGTATCACATGGTAGTTCTATTTTTAATTTTTTGAGAAATCTTCATTTTTTTAAAAATAATGGTTGCACTAATTTACATTCCCATCAACAGTGTATAAGTGTTCTGTTTTCTCCCCATCCTCACAAACACTTGTTATTTTTTGTCTTTCAGATGATAGTCATTCTATTAGGTATGAGTTGATATCTTCTTATGGTTTACATTTGCATTTCCCAATGATTAGTGATGTTGAGCATTATTTTATCTATCTTTTGGCCACATGCATATATTCTTTTGATAAATTTGTATTCAGGTCCTTTTCCCATATTTGAATTATTTTTTTTTCTATTGAGTTGTTTGAGTTTTTATCTATTTTGGATATCAACCCCTTATCAGAAGATGAAAGTCACATTTAAAGATAATTGACAGCAAATAGGAGGGCAAGTTGCTATTATGTCTTCCTCAAATCTCTCTCAAACACAGAAATAAATCACTACTTTGTTTATATTTGTATTTACAGAGAAGGTTGCTAGCAGCTATAACATTTCCAACTCATGATGTATACCCATACAGGATCATCATTGATTCACTAATCTTTATTGTGATATTAAAAATATATATGTATAATATAATGTTAAAGTTCTAAAGTATCATCTATGCCATTTTTATAAAAGTAATTTTTAGCAATTAGATTTTTGAAATTTCATATTCTTAGTTCTTATCACATATTCACTAAATAAGACATCTGATATAAAAGTCTTTGCATCTTGATATGTAAAAGCCTCTAAGGAGATTCTAATGTATACTAAGACCTCAGAACCATTATCTTAGAAGTCATCTCTCACAAACTCATGTGAATGAGCTACTTCATCAGAGAGATTGCATAGGATTTAATAGATTTGTACAAGATCCATTCTCTGGATCCAATCATCCAATTCTGTGTTTTCTCATTTCTTGATAAATCAATTAATGATGACTTTCAAACTACTTTTGCAAAATTGTAACAGTGAGAGAAATCTAACATGGCTGACTCCATCTTGCTTCTAACCTCACAGGCCAACTGCCTTTGCCCATCCTGCATATAAGACAAGCTAACTATCAGAGAAATTTTGTTTGTAGTTTAACTTTAAAGCAAGAACTATAATGATCTCTTCCCAAAACTATCCCCCCCTTTGTTATGGGACCAAACTTACCTTTGTAAAACTAATGAAAGACCATAAGGTTCGAATTTTAGTAGGCGCCTGAATTCTGGTAAGGCCTAGGCATACATAAATAATAACTAGTCATTGTTCCTAACTTGCTTTCTGCTTAGGAGTCATGTAGCCAGAGGTCATAAAATTTATAACTTTCCTAGTTGTCCATATTTATAATATCGCTATTGTAAAACCTAAGACTGGGGTTTGAGATATTTTTCAGACTTTTTATTCTGGTGGAACAACTGATGCCACCTTAACAGGAAACCCATTCCAAGAAACTGACTCAACTCATTCTGTGACCCCCAACTCAGGAACTGACTCAATGCAAGAAGACAGTTTCAACACCCCTGTGATTTCATCCCCAACCCAACCAGTCAGGATTTCCTATTCCCTTGCCGCCCTGTCAACCAATCCATCTTTGAAAAAACCTAGCCACTGAATTCTTGGGATTTGAAAACTCTCTCTCATCTCACTTGGCTGGCCCTATGATTATTAATCTCTTTCTCTACTGCAATATCTGCTGTCTTTGTATATAGTCACCTTCTGTACAGTAGGCAAGAAGAACCCATCAGGTTGTAACAAGTTTCAGGGATTCTGAATAAAGACAGAAGTGTGACTTCATGTTTATGATTACCAGGATAAAAATTCTTATGGAGTGATGTCTACAATAAAAAGTAGGTCAAATGATTGCCTTGCCTTTTAAATGTATTATATAATCATATGATTTCTAAATTTAAAGCATGTTAGATACCTATAAAGTGAAAAGAACTTTACTGTTATAAATTACACTGGGATAGGACATTAGAACCTATGATAATGATAGATACACTGCAATGTATATATTACACAAATTATAGTAATACTATATATAATAGTGAAATATGCTGAGAAAGTGCTGTCAAATAGGAAATCTGACATTTTATTCAATCAATTTGAATTTTAATTAACAAGAAATTTATATGTTGCTAATATGCTTATGTTTTTTCAAGAGAAACCACTTAATGGAATATATATTGGAATATATCTGGAAATTTCCTAGAGAATTCAAAATTTCAACTAAATATTGCCTCAATACCCATAGATCATTTTCTACTGTGCAGATAAGAATAATATGCAGTTTTCTTGAATGTTCCCCTAAAGTTAATATCAGTATTATGGAAAATGCCAATTGTTTATCCTCTAACAAGATAATACTTACTTTAAGTGATTTGTCTGGTCCTTTTTAACTAAAACGTAAAGACAAGTTTCATTGATTTAAAATTTAAAAATCAAAAGGTTTCCTTAGAGTGACTCAAATTAATGGGAGTTTTCAAAATAAAAATGATGTTACCCTAATAAAACTTTAAGGTGTGTCTGTAAAATATACTGCCTGATATTAAGTCACTCAAGCTTTTCTTTTATTTATATATGCCTTATATTTATCATCTATCTTACACCATTAATTTCATCTGTTTTTACTTTGAATCTATTTGAAATTAATTTCTTGTAGGCAGCATATAGTGGGTCACGTTTTTCTTCCATTAGGAAAATCTCTTTTCTTTTTATATTTAATGTAATTATTTATATTTTTATATTTAATGTAATTATTGCTATAAGCTTTATATATGCCATTTTATCAATTTCTTTGTTTGTTTTCAGAGATTTTCTTTCTATTTTCCCTTTCATTTCCTCTTGTGGGCTACTTAAATATTATTATTTGTTTCATGTTTTTATGGAAGTGTTTTAAGTATAAGAGTATAATTTATTTGTTCATTATGCACACCCATCCTAATTTGTTGACAATGCTCAAGTTTAAATCTGTGTGTGAAGTCCTAGTCAACTTCTCATGTGGCCCAGGCATTAAAATGACCAGAAACTACATAGAAACATCTCTGAGAATTGAATGACAGTGTGGCTCACTTCTCAGGTGTTCTATTAACACCTGAGTAGCACACTGCTGGGAAGACTAGAATAGCAATGCAAAGAATTTCAAAAGTAAATTTAAAGTTTCTTTCCTCTGTCCTTTCTGTAATCTTATTCCCACTCTGTTTGAAAGAGGCTAGGGTGTGGTCCCTGTTTGAAGTTGTTTACTTCAGGTGGTTGTTGGAGCTTCATCTCAGAATACTTGCAACACTATCTGGTAATGGGGGAGCACTACCTTTATTCATTAGTGCAGGGCAGGAATTGGCAGCAGGATTCTGTCTTACAGTAACCATGACAGCAGTGCCCTGTGGAAAATGGGAAGCATATAGAGCAAATATTGTCAGAAGTGTTTTGTTCTCCTGGGCCTCCCAATCCCTGTACTTTGGTTAGAGAATGAAGTAATTTCTTGTTTGTATTGTTGGTTGTTTTTTCTGAATCTGTTGCTGTTTCTAGGAAGTCATTTGTAACTGTTGTAGTGCCCAGGCTGGGATATATAAGAAGTAAAAATGTACCAACATACAAATGTAAAAGAATGTCAAGAAAGCCCTCAAGTACTGAAGTCACTAGTCAAGCTGTATTCTTTCCCTCCTTTCACAGTCTTTCTAGTCTTTTGTACATTTTGTTCAGGGTTTACTCTTTGTAATTATTAGTAGGGGAGAGGTCTGTGGACTCACTCTGTGTTCTCTGAAGCTGGAAGCTTCTTAATTTTATTCTAAATGTCTTTACATGAGAGTTTAAATTTTTAAAAAGCAGATTACTTTTACCCACATATTTATCATTTTAGTTGCTGTTGATTAATTTGTATAGATATAAATCTGGACCCTATTTTCTATTTATCTAATAATTTGGTGTTTCTTTTAGTACTGGTATGTTGACAATTGGATACGGTGAGTTCTAGATTTCTCTTCAAAGAATCAGTATGTCAGTATGTTCAGTTCTTTGTCCTCCATTTTAAAGTTTAACTTCCTCGTAGTTTCAGTAAACAACTTTTTCAACCAGTTTTAATCAGTAGTTCACATCTGTTCCCCTGGTCACCTACTCTGCCCTGACTCATCCCGGTCACCTGCTTTGACCTGAGTCACCCCCGGTCACCTTCTCTGACCTAAGTCACCTTTAGTTCCCTGTTCCTAACCGTCCTTCCTGCCAAACTACTCACCCCGCCTCTCTGGCTCATACCCCTGCTCTCTTTAAAATAGCCATTCAGAATTAGCTTAGACTGTGTGATCCAACCCTAGCCAATATGGGAACCACACAGCAGTAGGGACTACCTGCATCAGGAATAAGAACCCCTCCCCCTCCCTTGTTCAGGTGTGCTCTTGCCATTACTCCATTCGTAAGTTGCACCCTTCTATAGAAGTGAAAATTGCCTTGCTGAGAAAATTATATTTATATTCTTTGCTATTTCTTTGTGGCACTGAGGAACAAGCATTTTGTTTCTAACATTGACAATGAATTGTTTGTTTTTGTATATCTGGAGTTATTTCATCATTATTTTTGTATGATATTTTGTTGTGCATAGAATTCCATATAAATGATACACAGGTAAGTAAATAATTATTTCAATATATTCTGAATTTCACTGTATAATAAAAGGCTGTTGTCATTCTTAAAATTGTTCCTGTAGTAATATGTCTTTTCATTATGTGGCTGCTTTATACTGGTTTAAATAATTTGTTTATTATGTACCTATGTGGTTTTATTTATGATGCTTTATTTACATGGGCTTTTTGGATTTATACTTTTCACAACATTTTAAAAGTTGTCAGTCATTACTCTACTAAATATATTTCTAGCCCTCTCTACCACAAATGGTTTCTCTCCTTTTGAGGCTCAAATCAGGTAAATAGTAAGCAACTTGGTGTTTTTCTAGAGCTTATTAATGCTGTGCTTAATTTTTTTAGTCTTTTATTTATATATGTTTCATTTAGAATAATTTAATTTCTGTGTTTTCAAATTTATGTATTTGTCTACAATGTCTAATATTCTGTTAATATGTCTATTGTATTTTTTAATCTCAGATATTATATGTTTCAATTATAGTTTATTATGTGTGTGTTTTTAACCTTCTCTTTCTCTGCTTTTCATGGTTTTCTCTATAGTCTCCAACATGAGTATATTGATAAGACCATTTGTTAATGCCCTTGACCACCCATTCTATCTTCTTTGTCATTTCCAGGTCTAATTCTATTACCTATTTTTTTCTCTTATACTAAGCAATATTTCTAGAATTCTTTTCGTGTCTAGTTTTTTTTGTTTTTTTTTTTCTTTTTTTGACCATAGTCATGGTAATATATATTGTTTTTAGGTTCTACACTTTGGATTTTAGACTAAGGTCAATCATTGGAAATAATTTTTTTGTTTGTTTTTTCCTTCAGGGCTTTATTTTAAGCTTTGTTAGATCCAAAAGAGATTTTTGGTGTTAATTTTATTCTTTTATATTTTAAATACTATTCTGAGAACTCTATGTGATGCCTATTTGTTAGGAGTTTTTCCATCTTGTCTGTTAAATAATGTGACGCCTATTTGTTAGGAGTTTTTCCATCTTGTCTGTTAAATAATAAAATAAAATATTCTCAACTCTATGTGAGTCTTAGTATTGTTCTGAGTATTACTTGTTATAATTGTTTTTCCAGTCTCTGTTATTTTTTAGTAGGCATTCAGTTGAAGAATTAATGGGGATTATATTCACATTTTTGGAGTGAAAGTAATTCAGACAATGTATCCATAAATAATTAAATAACATCTAGATTTATTTTTACTTCATTAAATTAATTTTAGCATGTGCATTGGATAATAAAATATTAATTCTTTATTGCCATAAATAAATTTAACATTTTTATGTGCATCTTTCTTTGTTTTCTTGAATTATTCAATAATACTTGTTTGCTAACAGGTGCTCAAATTTTATAAACAAACACATGCACATATACACTTACCCCTTTATTGTTTTACTTATAGGCTATAGAATATGCTTATCTAAATGCCTTCAATTTGTAATCAGCTTTATTAATGTTTACTATATATTACAACAATATAATCATTTTACATATTATATTGTTTCAAATACTGAAACAATTATAAATTAGCATAAAAAATATAAAAAATTGTCATCATGCCAAAAGCTCCTTTGTATCCATCCAACTTAAGGGCCTGACTCAAACCACAAACACTCCCTAATCTGCCTTAACTCACTATAGTTTACATCTATCTTTTGTAGAGTTTCATATAAATAAAAATCTATATTACGCTAGTTTCTCATTTCTTTGGTTCATCAAAATACATTTGAGATTCACCTATAATATCAGATAAATCAATATTGCATAGGTTTCTGTTTATCACTGAGTATGACTAGAAGATGAGTGACACTCATGCATAGTCATGCAAAACATAATGACATTTTAGTCAACAACTCATCATATACATGATGGTAGTCTCACAAGATTTATAATATATTCTTACTGTACTTTTTCTATGCTTAGATATGTTTAGATATGCAAATACTTAAACACTGTGTTAAAATTGCCTACAGTATTTAATGCAGTAACATGCTGTACAAATTTGTAGCATAGGAGCAATAGGCCATACTGTACAGCCTAGATGTGTAGTAGTCTATAACATGAATTAATAGGTTTGTGCAAGTACACTCTATATTGTTTGCATGAGAACTAAACTGCTTAATGATGCATTTTTCAGAATATATCCCCATCATTAAGAGATGCATGGCTGTATTTTTTTCTATTTGATTATCCAGTCGTCCCAGCAAGATTGTATTTAAAGTGTACTATTTTCCTATTTAATTTTCTCAGAATCTTTGCTATAAATAAATTAACCATATATTAATAGATTTTATTTATGGATTCTATGAAGTTACACTGATTTATATGTCTAATTTACACAAATACCACACAATCTAAATATTTTATATTTTGATGCTATTGCAAAGGAGATATTTTTAAATTTCACTTCCCAAATGTTTATTGGTAGCATATAGACATACAAATATGCAGTTTTGTGTAATGCTGACCTTGTTTTCCACAAACTTACTAAGCTCACTTATTATCTCAAGTATCTTTTCATAGTTACCTTAGGATATTTTTCATGGATGACTGTGGTACTTATAAATAGGTACTTTCAGATTTTTTTCTGTATCCTTTTTATATCTTTTTCTTACTTTATTGCAATGACTAGGACAGCCATTACATTATTCAATAGAAGTTGGATTATTTTAGTTTCAAATACAAGGTTACTGGTATTAGATAGATTTAAATTTTATTTTCATATTACCTTGTAACCCATGACTTTTATAAGATAAATTAATACTTTTAGTAGATTTCTTTTGTAGTTTACTTAAGACTTTTTTTGGATATATGAGTCAGAAAATTTAGGGTAAATATAATTGTAATTTTTTTCTTTTAATCTACATGTCATTTATTTCTGCCTTTATGGTTTTTTACATTTTTAGTTATTATGGGTACAAAATATTAATAGTTAGATATATTTGTGGGGTACATGTGATGCTTTGATGCAGGTATACAATGTGTAATAATTACATCGGGGTAATTAGAGTATCTTGCAACTCAAGCATTTAGTATTTCTTTGTGTTAGTAATACAATTTCATTCTTTAACCAATATTAAAATATACAATAAACAGTTATTGACTATATGAACCCTGTTGTGCTATAAATTACTAGATGTTATTCATTCTATCTAACTATATTTTGCACCTATTAGTCATCTGCCCAACTACCCTTCCCAGCCTCTGGTAATCATTATTCTACTACCTCCATGAGTTTAATTGTTTCAAATTTTAGCTCTCATATAAGAGGGAAAACATAAAAAATTATATGTGCCTGGCTTATTTTACTTAACGTAATGTTCTCCAGTTTTATTTGTGTTTTTAGAAATGACAGAATTTCATTTATTTATGGCTGAATAATATCCCATTATGTATATATGCCATGCTATCTTTATTCATTCATCTACTGATGAACACTGAAGTTTTTTCCAAATCTTGGCTATTGTGAAAAATGTTACAATAAACGTGGAAGTGCAGATATTTCTTTAATATACTGATTCCCTTTATTTGCATTTATACCTAGTAGTGGGTTTGCTGGGTAAAATGGTAGTTCTACTTTTAGTTTATAAGGAATCTCCATGCCATTCTCTTTTTTTGTTTCCTTTTTTGTCTTTTTTATTTCCATACCTAAAGTGTATGTAATAATTTACATTCCCGCCAACAATGTACAAGGGTTTCCTTTGTCTACAACCTCACTAGCACTTGTTATCGCCTGTCTTTTGGATAAAGTCAATTTTAATTGGTTTGAGATGATAGCTCATTATAGTTTTGATGTCCGTTTCTCTGATAATTAATGATGTTGAGCATTTTTTACATACCTATTGGGCCATTTGTATGTCTTCTTTTAAGAAATGTCTATTCAGATCACTTGCCAATTTTTAAATCAGATTATTTGATTTTTTTCTATTGAGTTGTTTGGACTTCTCATTTATTCTGATTAAAAATCCCTTGTCAGATGGGTAGTAGGCAAATATTTTCTCATTCTGTGAGTTGCCTATGCATTAGTTGATTGTTTCCTTTGCTCTGAAGAAGATTTTTAGCTTGATGTGATTCTACTTGTCTGTGCTTTTGTTGCCTATGCTTTTGAGGTATTACTCAAAAGATCTTTACACAGACCAATGTCCTGCAGAGTTTCTCCAGAGTTTTCTTTCAGTAGTTTTATAGTTTCAGGTCTTAGATTTAAGAGTTTAATTCATTTGGATTTGATTTTTTTTATATGATGAGAAACAAGATTCTAGTTTTATTTTTCTGCACATGTGTTTGTGTGTGTTTACAGGGAAAATAAATACATCTCTCTCTCTATCTATCTATCTATCCATCCATCTATCTATCTACCTAATCTATCTATCCTGTCTATCTCCAGTTTTCAAAGCACCATTTGTTTAAGAGACTATTCTTTCTTCATTGTATGTTCTTGGTGCCTTTGTCAAAAATGGGTTCATTGTAGATGTGTGGATTTATTTATGGATTCTCTATGCAGTTCCCTTGGTCTATGTGTCTGTTTTTATTTCACTACCATGCTGTTTTTGTTTCTGCAGCCCTGTAGTATGTTTGAAGTCAGGTAACGTGATTCCTTCGGTGTTTCTTTTTGCTCAGAATGGTTTTGGCTATTCTGAGTCTATTGTGGTTCCACAAAAATTTTATAATTATTTTTTCTATTTCTGTGAAGAAAATCACTGGAATTTCGATAGGAACTGCAATAAACCTGTAAATTGTTTTGGATAGTATGCACATTTTAACAATATTGATCCATCCAATCAAAGAACATGGAATATATTTTATTTTTTTCTGTCCTCTTCAATTACTTTTGATAGTGTTTTATAGTTTTTATTGTAGAAATTGTTTACTGCTTTGGTAAAGTTGATTCCTAGGTATTTAATTTTATTTGTAGCTGTTGTAAATAGGATTACTTTCTTGATTTTTTTTAAGATTGCTCACTACTGAAATACAGAATTCTACTGATTTTTGTAGGTTAATTTTTGTATTCTGCAACTTTACTAAAACTCTTTTTCAGATCTAATTGTGTTTTTGCTTTCTGTTTTGCTGAAGTTCTTATGTTTTGTATTGATACAAGATCACATTGTCTAAAACAAAATAATTTGACTTCTATTCCAGTTTAGATGTCAGTTATTTCTTTCTTTTGTCTAATGCTCTAACTAGAACATCCAGTACTGGTATGGTTTGGATCGGTGTCACCCACCCAAATCTTATGTCAAATTGTAATCCCCAGTGTTGGAGCTGGGACCTGGCAGATGGTGATTCAATCGTGGGGGTGGATTCCTCATAAATTATTTAGCACCATCCACTTGGTGATATTCTCCTAATAGAGTTCTCATGAGATCTGATTATTTAAGCATACAGCACCTTGCTTGCCCCTCTCTCTCTCTTGCTTCTGCTCCCACCATGTCAGACACCTCACTCTCATTTTGCCTTTTGCCATGATTGGAAGCTTCCTGATGCCTCCCCAGAGATGTAAGCCACTATGCTTCCTGTACAGCCTGCAGAACAATGACATCATTAAACCTCTTTTTAAATAAACTACCCAGTCTCAGATATTTCTTTATAGCAATGTGAGAATGAACTAATCCAGAAAATTGGTACCAAGGAGTGAGGCATTGCTTCTCACTTGGTCCTTGGTGGCTTCCACAAACTATTAAGCATGCAGGTACACAGAGTCCAAGAGTTGAGGCTTGGGAGCCTCTGCCTAGGTTTCAAAGAATGAGATTTCAGAGACACCTGCTCCTCAGGTATCTTTAGATTTCAGGTAAAGATACTTGAAAATGTGGAAGCAGCTTTGGAACAGGGTAAAGGCAGAGGTTGGAAGAGTTGGGAGGGCTCAGAAGAAGACAGGCTGATAAGAGAAAGTTTGGAACTTTCTAGAAACTGGTTAAATAGCTGTGACCCAAATGCTGATAGTGAAATGGACAAAGAAAAACAGGCTGATGAGGTTTCAGATGGAGATGGGGAACTTTTTGGGAACTGGAGCTAAGGTCACTTCTGTTATGCATTAGCAAAGAACCTGGCAGCATTGTGCCCCTGCTTTAGGGATTTGTGAAACTTTGAACTTGAGAGTGATGATTTCGGGTATCTGGTGAAGAAATTTCTAAGCAGCAAGGCAAGTAGCCATTCTACTTTTAACCACCTATATTTATATGTGTGAGCAAAGAAATCACCGAAAATTGGAACTTACATTTAAAGGGGAAGCAGAGTGTAAAGTTTGGGAAATTTGCAGCCTGGTCATGTGGTAAAAAAGAAAAGCCCATTTACAGTGGAGAAATTCAAGCAGGCTGCAGAAAGTTGCATAAATTAAAAGGAGCCAAATGCTAACAGCCAAGACTATGGGGAACAAGCCTTGAAGGCATTTCAGAGACCTTGTGGCAGCCCATTCCATCACAGTCCTGGAGGTCTAGGAGGACTGAATGTTTCCTGGGCCATGCCAATGGCCTTGATGTGCTGAGCAGCCTCAGGACACTCTCCCTGCATCCCAGCCACTCCAGGTCCAGCTGTGACTCCAAAAGGCTCAGATATAGCTCAGGCCACTGCGTCAAAAGGTGAAAGCCATATTCCTTGGTGGCTTCCACACAGTGTTAAGCATGTGAATACACAGAGTCCAAGAGTTGAGGCTTGGGAGCCTCTGCCTAGATTTCAGCAAATCTATAGAAAAGCCTGGATGTCCAGAGAGAAGCCTGCTGCTGGAGTGGAGCCCTCATGGAGAATCTCTACTAGAGCGGTGTGGAGGGGAAATGTGGGGTTGGAGGCCCCACACAGAGTCCCCACTGGGGTACTTCTTAGTGGAGCTATGAGAAAAGGGCCACCATCTTCCAGACCCCAGAATGGTAGAACTACTGGCAGCTTTCAATCTCAACATAAAATAGCCACAGACAATGCCAGCCCATGAGAGCAGCTACATGAACTGGACCCCATAAAGCCACAGGGGCTGAGATGCCCAAGGCCTTGGGAACCCACCCCTTGTACCAGTGAGCCCTGGATGTGGAAAATAAAGTCAAAGGAGATTATTTTGGAGCTTTAAGATTTAATTACCGCCTTGTTGGGTTTCAGACATGTGTAAGGACTGTCACCCCCCTTTTTTTTTTGGCCTATTTCTCCCTTTTGGAATGAGAGTATTTACCCATTGCCTATACACCTTTGTATCAGTCTGAATATGGGCACCAACCTCACATGTCAACAGGACTCTGGAGGATAAGGTACAAATCCACATGCCATTAGGTTCATTATTTTCTGCCCAGGGCGTCACTGCTCCTTGTCAGCTGCTATCTCCTCCATGTCCTCCTTTCCTCCCCTGGGCCACTCTAGTAAAGGTCTCAAACTCCAGAAATCTGAGTTCCTTAAAAAACTCCTTACTAAGAACTAAGGGTGACAAAAACTAACAGGAAGAAGTAACTCTCCTATGACTTGCTCCTCTTTATACAACTTCATCAAAAAAGGAATCAAATTTACCTACAAATGCTACAATGAGAAGAATTGGAAACCCTGTTAAAAACACTCCGTATGACCATGCAGGCTCCTGAGAGTAAATTCCACAAATTTCCATCTGTCTCCTTGTTTTTTGTTTCCATTGTGTGCATGGGTTTTTTTGTGGACATGTGTTGAGAGAAGTGTATATGTATGTATGTATATATGGATGGATATATTTGTTTATGTGACTGTGTGTGTATAGTTTTATGCACACTTATGCATACATGTGTCTTTATTTACTTATTTATAACACCTCTCATTGATACATGTCTCCTGAGTTGCTCCTGTTAATTCACTTCGGTGTGGACTAGAAGATTGTAAAATAATACAGTCAGACAGGAGACGTAATTCTAAATTTACTTTTTTGAAAAAACTAGCTTCCATTACTCTAGAAATAAACTGGTTATTTTTTAACTATTCATGTATATCACTGTTTGAATCTGGAATATCACTGTTTTTATTAGAAATGCGGATTTATATAATGGCTACTAATATCTTAGGCTGGTGAAAATAGTAATGCTTCCTGGTTTAAGTAAACCTCTTTATTATGACCTTAGTCCCAATGTGTGACAGCCTTTGTAGTGGCAGTAATTTAAAATTCAGCTTCAGTGTGTAGGTAGTCATCCCTCTTATTCCATTTAATGTTCTGCTTTGAAGGCCCTCCATTACCTCCTTATTTTCACCCAGCATGGTGGTGTGTCTCTCCTGACCCACAAATAGGGTCAAGTAACTAGAGATCTGACACAAGGGTGCAATCCAATATGATGGTGATTTGAGGTTTGGAGCAGTACCCTCCATGATGGGAGAGTTCTATAAGATGGAGAACACCTCCAAAGCTCTTAGATCTGTTCCTTTCTGCTGAGGGCTTCACAGTTTCCTGACTACTCCTGCCTCCTCCTTGTGCCAAGTAGGATTCTCTCCTCCCCTGGCCCACTCTAGTGTGTATCATAGACAGAAAATCTGAGTTTCCTAGGCATTTGTCTGCTACTAACTAAGGGTGACAAGATACTAACAAGAGGAAGCCTCCCTCTATAGTCTGTTTCTCTTTTTTCTGAAACAATTATAAAAGTGTGGAAATTTATCTATATGTGCTACAGCAAGAAGATTAAGAAACTGTGTCAAAAAACCACTCTGTGTTGGCATGAACACTCCTGAGAGTAAATCCCACTAATCTCCATCTCTTTCTCTGCCACTTTTTTGTGTCTGTGTGTGTTTGTGTGTCCATCTTTTATAACTCACATGTCATCAGTGGCTCTATCAATGGTTACTCCTACCAGTTCATTTGGATCAGGGCTAAAGGAAAAATATGGTCAGATATGTATCTTGAAAGTAACTAACTTGTTTTTGATTTTACAAGGTCATAGATGGAAGGAACTTGCTTTGTCTCAGATGAGATTTGGGAATTTGAAGTTATGAGTTAATACTGAACAAGAGTCAAGACTTTGCAAGACTATTGCGAAGCCATGATTGTATTTTGCAATGTGAGAAGGACATGATATATGGGTGGGGAGGGGAATAACAATATGGTTTGGATCTGTGTCCTCACTCAAATCTCTTGTCATATTATAATCCCAAATGTTGGAGGCACAGCCTGGTGGGAGGTGATTGGATCATGGGGTGGATCCTTCATGACTGTTTTAGCACCATCTACTTGGTTCTGTTCTCATGATAGTGAGTGACATCTCCCAAGATCTGGTTGTTAAAAAGTGGGTAGCACCTCCTCTTTCCTTGCTCCTGCTCCCACCATGTGAGATAATTTATTCTCCCTTTGCCTTCCGCCAAGATTGAAAGCTTGTTGAGGCCACTCCAGAAACAGAAGCTGCTATGCTTCCTGTACAGCCTGAAGAACCGTGAGCCAATTAAACTTTTCTTTATAAGTTACCCAGTCTCAGATATTTCTTTATAGCAATGTGAGAATAGACTAATACAAGTACTATGTTAAATAGGAGTTAAAGTGAGCATTCTTGTCTTGTTCTAGATCTTGGAGGAAAAGCTTTCAGTTTTTCCCCATTCAGTGTTATACTGTTGGATATGACTTTTATTGTGTTGAGGTTTATTCCCTCAGTGCCCACTTTTTATTGTTTTTATGATAAAAGAATGTTAAATTTTATCAAATGTTTTTTCAGCACTTTTGAAATGGTCATATGGTTTTTGTCCTTCATTCTGTTGATAAGTTATATCACATTGATTGAATTGCATGTTGTATCAGGCCATTCTTGCATTGTCATGAAGAAATACCTGAGACTGGGTAATTTATAAAGAAAATAGATTTGATTGGATCACAGTTCTGTGGCTGTACAGGCAGTGTGGTGCTGGCATCTGCTTGGCTTCTGGGAGGCATCAGGAGCTGTTACTTATGGTGAAGCTTGAGCAAGCATATCATATAGTGAAAGCAATAGCAAAAGAGATAGAGTGGGGTGAGAGGTGCCACACACTTTTAAACTGATAGATCTCATTTGAATGCAGAGCAAGCACTCACTTATTACCAAGGGGCTGGACCAAGCCATTCATGATGAATCCACTCCCATAATCCAAACACCTCCCACGAGGCCCCACCTCAAACATCGGGGATTGCATTTCACATGAAATTTGGGTGGGGACAAATATCTAATCCATATCACATATGTTAAACCATCCTTGCATTCCTGGCATGAATTCCACTTGGTCATAATGAATAAGCTTTATACCATGTTGTTGAATTAGGTTTGTTAATATTTTGTTGAAGATTTTTGTACCCATGTTTATCAGAGATATTGGCATATAGTTTTCTTTTTTTTGTTGTGCCTTTGGTTTTGGTATTAGGGAAATACTAGTCTCATAGGATGAGTTTGGAAGTACTCCCTCCTCCTCCATTTTTTGAAATAGTTTGAGTAGGGTTGGTATTAGTGCTTCTATAAATGTTTGGTAGAATTCAACAATGAAATCATCAGGTTCTTGGCTTTGATGGAATAATTTTATTATAGTTCCCATCTCATTAATTGTTATGTCTGTTCATACTTTGGGTTTCTCTGTGGTTTGATGTTAGTATGTTGTATGTGTCTAGGAGTTCATCTATTTCTTCAAGGTTTTTAAATTTATTGGCATATTATTGTTCACAGAATGAGTTTGGAAGTATTCCAAACAAAGTCTTTAATGATATCAAATTTCTGTGGTATCAATTGTATTGTCTTTTCTTTCCATGCCAGATTTTATATATTTGAGTCTTCTGTTTTTATTAGTTAATCTGGCTAGAGATTTGTTAGTTTTGTTTATTTTCTTAGAAAAACAACTTTCCTTTCATTGATCTTTTGTATTGTTTCCTTGTTTCAATTTTCTTTCTACTCTGATCTTTGTTAACTTTTTTCTTCTACTAATTTTGAGTTTGGTTTGCTCTACATTTTTTTATTCTTTAAGATGCATTGTTGAGTTATTTGAAGTTTTTCTACTTTTTTGATGTAATTGCTTATTGATATCAACTTTCCTCTTAGTGCTATTTTTGGTATATCTTTACCTAGGCTAAAGTCTGGAAGAGTCTTCTGAGTTTAGTCCATTTACATTCAATGTCATTATTGATAGGTTTAGGTATGTTGTGTTTTCATTTTCATTTATTTAAATAAATTTTTATGTTTAAAAAATTTCTTCATTGACCCATTGTTCTTTCTGGAGCATACTATTCAATTTATATGTGTTTGTATGGCTTCTAAAGTTCATCCTATTATTGATTTTTACTATTATTTCATTGTAGTCAGAGAAGATACTTAACATGATTTCAATTTTTTGAGTTATTAAAATTTGTTTTGTGGCTTAACATGGTCTATTCTTGAGAATAATTCAATTGCTGAGAAATAGAATGTCTAGGCTGCAGCTATTGGATGAAATGGTCTGTAAATATCTAGTAAGCCCACTTGGTATATAGGGCCGATTATGTCCAATATTTCTGTTTTGATTTTCTCTCTAGATTATTGGTCTAATGCTAAAAGTGGGGGTTAAAGTCCTCATTTATTGTATCTGGGTCTATCGCTCTCTTTAGCCTAATAATACTTACTTTATATATCTTGATGCTCCAGTGTTGGGTGCATATTTGTATAAGCTCCCTTTGTTGTTATATAATGCCCATTTTTGTCTCTTTTTAGGCTTTTTGTCTTGAAACCTGCTTTTTCTAAATATCACTACTCCTACTTGTTTTTGGTTTCTATTTGCATGAAATATCTTTTTCCATCTCTTAATTTTCAGTGCATGGGTCTTTGCAGATGAAGTCAGTTTCTTGTAGGCAGCATACAGTAGGGTCTTTTTTAAAAAAAATCCATTCAACCGCTCTATGTCCTTTTTAAAAATAAATTCAAAATGGATGTGTACAGGTATGCTTCATAGACATATTGCATAATGGTGTAGATTGGACTTCTAATGTATCTATCATCTAACAGGGAACATTGTACCTAATAAGTTATTTTGTAACCCTCATCCTTCTCTTTTTTTTTTTTTTTTTTGACAGAGTCTTGCTCTGTCGCCCAGGCTGGAGTGCAGTGGTGTGATCTCGGCTCACTGAAAGCTCTGCCTCCCAGGTTCATGCCATTCTCCTGCCTCAGCCTCCTGAGTAGCTGGGACTACAGGCACCTGCCAACATGCCAGGCTAATTTTTTTGTATTTTTAGTAGAGACAGGGTTTCACCATGTTATCCAGAATGGTCTCGATATCCTGACCTCGTGTTCCACCTGCCTTGGCCTCCCAAAGTGCTGGGATTACAAGCGTGAGCCACCACACCCGGCCAACCCTCATCCTTCTCTTATTTCCCCTTATAGAGTCCCCAGTGGCTATTATTTTCCTCTTTAAGCCCATGTGTACCTATTATATAGCTTCCACTTATAAGTGTGAACATTTATTTTTTCTGAGTCATTTCACTCAGGATAATGGCCGTCAGCTTCATCCATGTTGCTACAAATGACATGACATGATCTCATTCTCTGGTATGACTGCATAGTATTCCATCATATATATATATATATATACACATATATATATACATATATACACACATATATATACATATATACACATATATATACATATATACATATATATACGTATATATATACACATATACACATATATACATATATATACACATATATACATACATACATATATATATATATATACATATATATACATACATACATATATATATACATATATATACATACATACATATATATATATATATATATATACACACACACACATCATGGAATATATATATTTCACATTTTCTTTGTCCAGTCATTCACTGGTAGGCATTTCTATTGATTCCATGACTTTGATCAGTGCTGCAATAAACATACCATTGCAGGTGTCACTTTGATATAATTATTTCTTTTCCTTTGGGTGTATACCCAATATTGGGTATACAATTGCTAGACTGAATAATAGATCTAATTTTAGTTCTTTGAGAAATCTCCATACTGTTTTCAATAGAGGTTGTACTAATTTACATTCCCACCAACAGTGTACAAGCATTCCCTATTTTCTATGTTGTTGCCAAAATCTGTTGCTTTTTGTCTTTCTAATAATAGCAGTTCTTACTCATGTGAGATGGTATCTCATTGTGATTTTAATTTGTTTGTCTCTGATAATGAGTGATGTTAATGTTGAGCATTTTTTCATGTTTGTTGGCCACTTGTATATCTTCTTTTAAGAAATGTCTGTTCATGCTCTTTGTCAATTTGTTTATGCTTTTTGTTTTTTTTTGTTGTTGTTGTTGAGTTGTTTGAGTTTCTTGTAGAAAATGGATATCAGTCATTCATAAGATGCATAGTTTGCAAATATTTTATCCGATTCTGTATGTTGTCTCAAGTTTAAAATGATGACTGTATATTTAAAAACCTGCAGTACCAAGGAATTAACCATGCAATACGTTTGATAAAAGACTGCTAATATTTCTACCTAGCACATCTGCTTCATTAGGGTGCCTGCAATGCAGGCTATATGCTCTGCAATTTGTGACTACTGGTCTAAATAATTGTTTCTTCTGTATTTCAAATTGCAGTTGCAAACACAGTAACACTTTATCCTCTGTGCTTCTACAGGACTTTGACTTATACATTTTACCATGTGATACAGATACCAGTTGCCATATTTCTTTATCTCCAGGAAAATTGTTAGCCCCTGGAAGTACAACATTCTTATTTATCTCTGAATTCAAAGCTCAGTTCTTGTGTCATAGTAAACACTAAACAAAATACTGACTTTTACTAATAATTATTTTGCATTCTTAATTCAATATAAAGGGGTTGTCCTATGAAAGGTTAAATACAGATCTAAGGATGAAGGGTTCCTAGGTAATTCTTGGAGGTAAAAGTCTTAGATATTTCCCCTCTGTCATTATTGCATTCTCAGCTTTCTACATAGAATATGCTGTGTGACATATACACCATGGAATACTATGCAGCCATAAAAAATGATGAGTTCATGTCCTTTGTTGAGACATGGATGAAATTGGAAATCATCATTCTCAGTAAACTATCGCAAGAACAAAAAACCAAACACTGCATATTCTCACTCATAGGTGGGAATTGAACAATGAGAGCACATGGATACAGGAAGGGGAATATCACTCTCTGGGGACTGTTGTGGGGTGGGGGGAGGGTGGAGGGATAGCATTGGGAGATATACCTAATGCTAGATGACGAGTTAGTGGGTGCAGCGCACCAGCATGGCACATGTATACATATGTAACTAACCTGCACATTGTGCACATGTACCCTAAAACTTAAAGTATAATAATAATAAATAAATAAATTAAAACAAAAAAAGAATATGCTGTGCGAAGCTGTAGTTTACTTACTTTTTTATGAAGATGAACACATTTTAATCTACATATGTTCCATATATTCTAAGAACAGTGCACTGATTTATAGAATATTTGGTGTATAAATGTAGTCTTATTTATTTACATATCTTATTTCTTACTTTTAATATCATTATGATATTTTGAAATCACTTCAAGTGAGTTATTGAGCAAAAAAGACTCACCTCAGTCTCATTCCTCAGAGTAAACCTGATCTATACTGTAAAAACCTAATGTATGTTACACAAAGACATCCAGATATTGTGGAAGCCATAATGACTTTCAAAGTCATTTAATTCTAAAATATTTAATCAAATTCACAGCAAAAAGTACTAACAATCATTTGGAAATGGAAAACTAAATGACATCTAATTTTACTGCAATATATTTTATTACATAAAATTCCATTTTAAAGGAGTTTCAAGGGTTCTATGCATTTTATCTATTGGTAGAAATTTGTGTTAATGAATAAATATAAAAAGAATATATATATATGTACAAATCACAATAATTCTTATGGAAAATTATTCGGTTTTGCATTATTTCAAATGTTCTTGAATCAAGATACCAGCAAAGAGTCATCAAACAGCTAGATAATCAGAAAGTAAAAAAAAAAAAAAAAAAAAGAAACAATGCATTAAAGACAAATGGCATAATAATGGAACCCAAAAAGCATCTTATCAGCAACTCACATATGTGTGCCATCAGTAAACTGTTTCTTTTTACTTTTTACAACAATCTCATCAATCATGAATGCAAAACCCAATTCTTCCAGTAGACAATCTTCACTTGTCTGTGAGAGTTAGATTATGCTGTTAAAGGAGTGCTTTGTTATTGATATTACAGGCTACATAGGTGGAAGAGTCTTGCCTTATCTCAGGTGAGACTTTGGACTTGGACTTTTGGGTTAACGCTGAAATGAATTAAAATTTGGGGGAACTATTGAGAAGGCATAATTGTGTTTTGAAATGTGAGAAAGATGAGATTTGGGAGGTGTCAGGGGCAGAATGATGTATTCTGGCTTTGTGTCCCCACCCAAATTTCCTCATAAATTGTAATCCCCATGCGTTGGAGGAGGGACCTCCTGGGAGGTGATTAGATTATGGGGGAGGTTTCTCCATGCTGTTCTTGTGATAGTGAGTGAGTTCACATGAGATCTGATGGTTTTATAAGTGGCTTTCGATCACTTTGCTCAGTACTTCTCTCTCCTGCTGTCATGTGAAGAAGGATGTGTTTGCTTCCCCTTCCATTATGATTGTAAGTTTTCTGAGGCCTCCCAGCCATGTAGAAGTGTGAGTCAATTAAATCTCTTTTCTTTATAAAGTACCTAGTCTTGGGTATTTCTTCACAGCATCGTGAAAACAAACTAATACAGTTCTGCTGGGTTCTAGACAATGGCAATAGCAAAAGCACAGGCTCTGTGGTAAGAAGGATTGCACATTGCATTACCTAAAAGACCATTGTGGCCTGAGGTGAGAGGCTGGGAGTTATATTGTAGAGTAAGAGGCAAATAATTCCCAGTGTACGATGAATACTGTGACAGTTCCCAAATATATCTGAAGCTTATTTTTATAGATCTTATCAAAGTTTGTACAATAAGAAGTAAAGTTTTAACAGAAAACATGCAATCTTGTCCTGAAAAAACATGTGCTAGGGTTTGGGTCAACCAGAGTTTTGAAAAGTGAGAAATGTCAAAGAAGTGAGATTGACTTTCTGCATATTACCTGTACTCCTTGCTCATTTTATTATGGATCCATGAACCACTTATGTATAATCAAGTTTCATGCAGGTAAGCTAAAGTTAAAGGAATTGAACTGAAATTTACTCCACTCTCTGTTGCTTAAGAAATAGTTACAGTATGAATTCAGCCAAATCAACTACCTTCTTAAAAATATAATATTCTTCAGAGAAATTTGGCAGAATGCGTCATTTCTACAGTATATCATATTATTCTCAATGTCAAAAAATCCCCACAAAACAGAAAATATGGCTTATTGTCAAGAAAAGAAAATTCACGAGACCAAAATTGGAATAACCTAGAGTTTGCAAAAAGCAAAAAAAAAAAAAAACAAAACTCTTTAAAGCAGTTATTACACCTTTGTTCAAGAATGTAGAGAAAATTTATAATGAGTAAAAAGGTAAACAGTCTCTGCAGAAATATACTCGTAAACAAAATTTAAATTCTAGATGTGAAAAATGCAGTATCTAAAAAAATTCACTATTTAAACTTATGAGCAAAATGCCAATGGAAAGGAAAGAAACATCAAGCTTCAAGATGGACCAATAGAAATTATCTAATTTGAAAAACAGAAGAAAATTATTGAAAGAAGTAACTCAGTGATATGTGTGACAGTATTAAAAGTTCAAACATATGTGTAATTATAGTCCTTATGGAAAGAAGAGAGTACTTTGAAGAATGGGAGTATAATACCTGCTTGTTGAAAATAAACATATTTACATAAATGTGGAAATTCAAGAGCTCACAAAACAAGATGGAATATAAACAAACCAACAAAACTCACATAGGTATATTACAGCCAAATAGCTGAAAACCAGTGAACGAGTTGACATAAATAAGAGGAAAAATGACATATTGCAAGTAAGGAAACTTGATTGAGTATTCAGAAATTATGGGCAGTGGAAAACTAGTTTTCAATTGCTAAGAATAGATGTCAACCTGGTATTCTATATCTAACAAAAATACAGAGTACTACAAGAATGAAAGCTATATAAAGATGTTTCTAATGAAGTAACATTAACAAATATTTCTTTTACCAAAGAACATGCATTACAAAAAATGCTAAATATCACTTTTTAAAACGTATTAGCTGCCACGACATAAAAATATTAGCTGCTAATGACATAAAAAAAAGAATTATTTTTTTAAGACAGAAGAAAGGACATTGTGTATATGAATATAAGTAAAATAGGAAACACTTTATTTTCACTCTTGAGTTTTAAAAAATACTCATGGCTTTAAAACAAAATAATAACATTGTGTTCTTGGTTCATAATTTACGTGACTGTAACACATATGCTAATGAAAATATCAAAGACAGCTTAAAGCTGCAGGATTTCCTCATTTTAAAAGAAGTGGTAAAATATTTAAATCCTCTCTCAGATATGTAGTGCATATACTATAATTCTTAAACAAATTAGTTTTTTTTTCTTTTTTGAGATGGTATCTTGCTCTGTCTCCCAGGCTTGAGTGCAGTGGCTTGATGTCGGCTCACTGCAACCTCCACTTCCCCGGTTCAAGTGATTCTCCTGCCTCAGCCTCCCGAGTAGCTGGGACTACAGGTGTGCATGCCATCATGGCTGACTAATTTTTGTATTTTTAGTAGAAACAGGGTTTCACCATGTTGGCCAGCCTGGTCTTGAACTCTTGACCTCAAATGATCCACCCACTTCAGCCTCCCAAGATGCTGGAATTACAGGTATGAGCCACTGTGTCTGGCCTCAAATTAGTTTTTTAAAAAAATGTTTTGGAAATTCCTCACATTCAGGAATAATTTTTCATGTGGTGGGAAATCCTAATTAAACACAATTATAACTACTAAAATTATGGAAACACCAATATGTGATTATTTTGGTGGAGATAATTAGTGTCTTTTTTCCTGCCATTTTCATTAATGGAATCTCCTGGTTGCTTTAATATTGTGGGTGATTATTATTTACTATGGTTCATATTATGTGTTTATTAAGAAAAAAATTATGTCTATATTTTTCTATTGATTTGTTCATCATTTTTGTCAGTTATTAAATAAATATTGAATCTTTTTCTTTTTCTACTCTCTGTAAACAATGAAAAAATATTTTATTTTGAGAAAGACCTTTAATTATTTCATTTTTTATACTCCATACAGTTTGTCTAGCATCTGCCTAAGAGTGAATGGTATACTAACAGGGTCTCATTCCAGATGGTTATACTAAGTATTACTGAATACTGAAGCTTAATACTGAATACTGAATCTTAATTTTCTATGCTAGTAGAACTAAATTGTGTTTCCAATATTGGACTACCGACTATGAGAGATCTTCAATTTAATATCTAGATCACAGATCATAATAAAAATGTAATTTTCTACAATAAATTGCCCTCCTCCTCTCTACCTCTATGAGCATCTGTTGCCTTGAAGGAATTACATTAAGCCATAGCTTGGATTTTCAGTTCAGGTTTGCTGCGTACAATTTGCACTGCTCTGAACAGCTGGCTATTACTTTTGCTTTCCCATTTCACTCACAGTTGAAATGATTTACCACCTGTGGATGCATCCTGTTTCTTCTGTGTTCATTTGTTAGGTTAATTAAATTTTACTCTTTCTAGTTTTTTAATACAAGCCTTACAGTTATTTCAACTATAAACAGCTAAAGAGTATGTACTGTTTTACTAAAAACAACTGTTTTGAGAAGTCTGCCAATTAAGTGTGTGAATTTTTCAAAACAGCAAACTATTTTCCCCAGATAACAAAACATATATCAAAGTTCAAATTATTTCATAGATGATTTGGTTTTGATTACAGAACATCTAAACTATAAATAAACCATCGTTTTTGGTCAGAAAACAATCTTCTATGTCTTCATAATTTTCCTTTTCCTCACAAAAATTCCTGCTTTCCTAACCCTCTTTCCTAACCCTGCTTTCCTAACCCTGCTTTCCTCAAATAAATTTGAGGAAGCTCAAATTTATTTCCAACGTACTTCCAGGTTGTAACAATTTTCCTGGTGGTCATGTGTTCAATCTCCAGCTGAAAATATGTTTCCTCCAGGTTCCCTTGTCACTTTGTTTCTAAATCCTCAGTTGATATGGTTCTTCTTGCTTTTATAACATCCTAGAAATTCTAAAATAGTAGATTCAAGATGTTGAAAAATAAAAATTACTTTATACTTTAATTCAATAGATTTCACCTAAGTAGTACTGTTATAAAAATTGTACTTTGTGATCAAAGTAACTCATATCAGTTAGTTCTTTAGTTAACACTGCATGGAGCAGTACTGCAGGTGTTATAGGTCAACAGTTGCATGCCATGACAAGTACTCTTGGTCCCAACTCCACCTCAAGTTGTTTTATCTGCAACCACTTTTAAGCAGGCTTTGATTATTCTTGTTAGGTGCAAGGTCAGCCTCCTGATGCAAATTTTGCTATGGATCTTCCATTTCCTCCTCTGGGAAATCTCTGATTCATGAAGGATGATAACTGTGATAAAGCATGAGGCAGTCACAAATTCACACCTAGAAAAGGTAGAAGAGGCAACATGGCATACCTTGAGTAATTGGGGATGGCATCTTATGGATAAACACTTCCTACTTTTGTCAGGGAGGCAGAATATTCCGGAATAGCATTCGTGTATTTTTTAATCTTTGAATTGCTTGTATGGCCCCATGTTCAAATGTTGACATTTAAGCTTTCTGGAGTCAGAGGGAAGCCATGGTGATTCTACTGATGCTCTGATCAAACTCTTTTGGCGTCAGACTTATATTGGTAGCAAACACACATTAACAAATGAAAACCTCCCATTTATGCCTAATATGATTTTCACAGGTCACTCTGCAAATCCACTTTTAATGTCTCTCTCAGGAGTTTAAGGCTTAGGCATTTAGAATGTGACTTTCAGGAATGTAGACTTTTGGGGCACAAAGCTTAGAATCCTCTCTTTCCTCATCTTTGGTTACAGGAGACCACCCAGAAATATTTTCATTCCAAAAACACTGTTGACCTATTTTCTTTCTCCAAATTCCAAGTCTTAAAGTCAGTGGAAAAACTCCAATACTCTACTACTTGAAAAAGGACTTATGAATGTATTTTATTTAGAGATTTTCCAACTCTAGAAAGTTAATGTGAAGCTTAAGAACTGCCTTGAAGCTTAGGTCTCTCCTTAAAAATACAGCCTATTTTCTTTAATCTTTTTTGCACAAAACCATAAAATGAAGCCTCTAGGAGTCTATGAGTAAGCTTACCAATCAGCCTTAGCAGCGGTCACCTTGGTAATGCTTCTTATATTGATTTTCTTCTTACCTCAGTCAACTCCTTTGGCTTCTCTTTCTTGCTTTCAGAGATCATTTTCTAAATCATCACTGGTCCAGGGTCTTGACTTAGGCTCTGCTTTCGAGGAGACTGAGGTTAAGAAAGAGTTAATACCTTTCATATGTGTTTATTTCATGTTCTCGTTTTCTTTTAGGTGGCTTGATGAATCAAATTCTCTTTCTAAATAAAAAAGATATAATTATATCTTAAATAATCTGAGGTGAAATAATGAAAAACTCCATACTTTCTAAAAATAGGACATGTGGTAGCCATATCTCTGGATATAGAATTCTATTATAGCCCAAAACCCATAATGTAAAAAGTTTTCATGGACATAAAAAGGACATAACCTTAAAATTATAAACCTAGTGACAGTGAAACCTGAAGGTAGTATTATCTAGCCAACATCATATCAACAGCCCACTTAAGAAACACTAGAAACTTATGTTTTCTACTGTGAATACATGAATCTCAACTCTCAATTCCCACATTTCATATATTCTTTTTTCATTAATGGAAACTGTGTAATAGTATATGTCAATAGGATTGCATGATCATATGTTCCTACTAATGAGTCACTTGTGGGTGAGGTGCAGTGCTGTTAATTTATAACACCCGACTTAAACCAGTACTATTAGTTATCTCTGAGCTCTCAGAGAAAATGTTAGGAACAGGAGAACAGAACTTTTAAATGTACAGATCTCTTATAAAGAACACATGCACACTCACAAACAATGATTAGCACATATTTTCAGCTTAATTTCTTTGTCATATCTTCAGTTTTATACACATTTATGCCATTAAACCAGTGAGAATGAGTAAGTATTGATGGTAAAACTGTGCATTTTTGCTCATGGAAGCAGTCGTCTTAATTTAAGGCAAGGTACCGTTTGCTAGCGTGGCCTCTCCCTGCTCTGTGGCTGTTTTCCTGTTTTTACTGATGTGCAAAATAGAAAAAAAATAGAAAGATATTTTTCCCTCTTTCACTAACCTTCTCTTCTTCTTGTCTTGAATATAGATGTATCTTTGATAAATGGCCAATGTAAGAAAGAAGTATAGAAGTTAAATTAAGATTTAAAAATAACATTAGCCAGGTGTGGTGGCTCATGCCTGTCATCCCAATACCTTTGGCAGGCTGAGTTGGCAGAATTCCTTGAGCTCAGGATTTCAAGACCAGCTTGGACAACATAGTGAGATCTCCTCCTTACAAAATATTGTTTTAAAAATTAGCCTGGTATGGTGGTATGCACCTGTAGTCCCAGCTACTTAGGAGGTTGGAAGATTGCTCGAGTCTGGGAGATCAATGCTGCAGTGAATTGTGATTGCACCCTTGCACTCCAACCTAGGCAACACAGCAAGACCCTGTATTGAAAATAAAATAAAATAAAATAAAATAAAATAAAATAAAATAAAATAAAATAAATATAGCTAATGGTTTTACAGTAACATTGATGAAATGTACAGGAACAAAAGATCATTTCAGCTAAATTATCAATATACAAGTGAAAGAACTAGAAGATTCTAAAGTTGGCAGAAATAAAAAAATAATTTAAGTTTCTATAATAGGAATACCAATAGATAATATGTTGAAAAATCACATTTAAGAAATTAGTCATCAGTATGATGTATGATATTATTTACCTATCTTTCTTTTTTTAGTAAAAAATACTAAAAGCCAAAACATCTACAGAGATTACCTTGACTAGCCAACCAATTTGCAGAGAAAATATATTTAAAAGGTTCAATGACTTCCTTCATTTAATATACTTATTGATAGATGCGAGAGTACAGAATGTATTTTCTGACTTTTTTTTGAGATGGAGTTTCACTCTTGTCGCCAAGGCTGGAGTGCAGTGGCACGATCTCAGCTTACTGCAACCTCTGCTTCCTGGGTTCAAGCGATTCTCCTGCCTCAGTCTTCCAAGTAGCTGGGATTACAGGCATGTGCTACCATGCCCAGTTAATTTTTGTATTTTTAGTAGAGATGGGGTTTTGCCATATTGCCCAAGTTGGTCTCGAACTCCTCATCTCAGGTGATCCACCCGCTTTGGCCTCCCAAAGTGCTGGTATTACAGGCATGAGCCACTGTGCCCAGCCTTTTCTGACATATTTTAAGGGACCTATTATAAAACAACGGGGACTAGTAGCATGGTACATGGCAGAAATGAAATAAATTCCATAGTTACATTCTATATGCTATTACTACTAATAATAATGATAAAATACTAATTAGCAAATTCAATTGCAATAATATGTTGTATAAGGGTAAACAACAACTAGACAAATGAAAATCTATGCCTTCGTAGGCCCAGATGCTTAAACTCGATATTGCACACAGAATTTATCATTGTCTCTTCTGTAAGCTTGGGTGAATTTTCACTGAGACTAAATTTTCCTGCATCCAAAATTAGAATTTAAAAAATAATAACTTAAGAATTTTATGTGGTTGTTATTACAAAAATCCTCTCATGCTGAATAATCTTGGAAAACATTTATTCTCTTCTTATATGCTTTATTGCTTTTATTTTGTGTGTGATGCTGATTACATTTAAATGATTTATGTGAACTGGACAGTGATAGAGAAGAAATAAGAATTAATTGCAAAGTTCTGTCTTGGGGAACTAGAGGAATAACAGTTTTGTTACAACTAAGAGAAATGATATGGGAAGTGGAAACATTATTTTGGTGTATATTTTTACAAGGTCTAGCTCAAACATTAGGTAAGGTCATTATGATATATTCTGCTACAGCCAGTTATCCATCTATCCATCCATTCATCCATCCATCCAGTTTCACTGGACTTTGAGAATTTATTAAAATAATACACTGTGCATTAAATGTGAATTTTGTTATTTTAAGGATTCCTTTTACATTTGTGTATGATTTCACCTGTATAGAAATACAGTCCAAATATAAGGAATGCAGATGGTTCAGGCTATGTGGGAAAGTTCTCTCTAGTGAGCATAAGTAATCAAATTCATATTAACATACATAATAAAAATGCAGAATATTTTTCAAAAATATTTCATACTAAATACTATTCTATATAATCAAACATCAGTTTCTTCAGAATAACGATTTATAGTTTCTAGAAAATTAAGTTTTTAAAATTTATTATAACCAGTTTTGTAATTTCAAATACAGATTGTTTCATATAGCAGTCCTCAAAAATATTTGAATTGTTTGATTCTAGTAATTTAAGAAGAATACTTGTAATAAATGATCTGCATTCTATAAGGAATCTTTAGAAGAACTAGAAAACTAGGTTTGAATATGCTTGCTGTTAAAATTAAATAAAATATTTTTTGCACTTCAATTTTTCTCGTTAGGCATAGTGGCAATATATTTATGCATTTTGTTTGGTGAGTTATTGCTTTTGAGTCAGTTTTTCTTATGCTCTCTTTATAATTATTTTTGCCCCCTTATTACAGAAAGCCTTATAATAGGAGAAAAGCACATGCTATGTTATCTGAGAAGAGTGAATTAGATTTTTAACTCAACATATCCTCCATATTTAAAACTCTGTTGGTTATCACCTTTTATCGGGGGAACCGGCCCCCGATATTTCAATGTACGTTCTTTTTTATTTTCCTTAAGTGTCAGCTGGTCTGAGAAATAAAGGGAAAGAGTACAAAACAGTGAAATTTTAAAGCTGGGTGTCCGGGAGAGACATCACATGTCAGCAGGTTCCGTGATGCCCCCTGAGCCGCAAAACCAGCAAGTTTTTATTAGCAATTTTCAAAGGGGAGGGAGTGTATGAATAGGACGTGGGTCACAGAGATCACATGCTTCAAGGGCAACAAAATATCACAAGGCCAATGAGCAGGGCAAATTCACAAGGCCAGGGTGAAACTAGAATTACTAATGAGGTTCCCGGTCCCACTGTGCATGCATTGCCATTGATAAACATCAGGAAACACGGGTTGAGAGCAGACAACCGGTCTGACTAAAATTTACTGGGCAGGAATTTTGTAATCTTAATAAGCCTGGGGGCGCTGCAGGAGACTAGGGCATGTTTCATCCCTATCTACAACTGCGCAAGGCAGACACTCCCAGAGAGGACATTTTAGGGCCCCCCCCCGGGAAAGCATTCTTTTCCCAGGGCTGTTAATTATTAATATTCCTTACTGGGGAAAGAATTCAGCAATATTTCTCTTACCTGCTTTCAGCAATAAGAGAAATATGGCTCTGTCCTGCCTGGCTCCCAGGCAGTCAGACCTAATGGTTATCTCCCTTGTTCCCTGAACATCGCTGTTTTCCTATTCTTTTTTCAAGGTGCCCAGATTTCATATTGTTCAAACACACATGCTTTATGAACAATTTGTGCAGTTAACGCAATCATCACAGGGTCCTGAGGTGACATACATCCTCATCTTACGAAGATGATGGGATTAAGAGATTAAAGTAAAGACAGGCATAGGAAATTATAAGAGTATTGATTGGGGAAGTCATAAATGTCCATGAAATCTTCACAATTTATGTTCAGAGATTGCAGTAAAGACAGGTGTAAGAAATTATAAAAGTATTAATTTGGAGAACTAACAAATGTCCATGAGATCTCCACAATTTATGTTCTTCTGTCACAGCTTCAGCAGGTCCCTCTGTTCGGGGTCCCTGACTTCCCACAACAACTTTGGCACCTTTGTATCCACCAATTATAGACCTTGATAGGTTTAATTTTCCACATAGTATAGTTTTATTGTACATTTTTCTTGCTTTCTTGGTGGCCAGTATTTTGGGGGACTCTTACTAATATATCCCACCTCCTCACAGAATAAAGCATAATACATTCCCTTCCTTTGCCCACAAACAGCCAAACTTGGTGGCACTAATTAGGCAGATCCACTCAAGACTTTGCCTCAGAAGATAGAAATAATGGAGAAGCCACACCTGTTGAATGCAGTGAGGACATCAAGCTCTTGAGTTTCAACTGTTGCAAGACTGACTTCTATTGTAGAATGAATGACAACATTAATCCTTTTTTCTTTATAAATTACCCAGTCTCAGGTGGTTCTTTATAGCAGTGTGAAAATGAATTAATATATCATCTGAAACTTCACATGAAATTTATTTCATAATATTTTGCATGTTTTCTGGCTCCTTTGTCCTACTTGGATTTAAATTAGTTGGACACATTTATGTTGTCCAGCCTCAATGTGTTACTGAGCTCTCCAGATCATTTGACAAATTACTTTCTTTTAGGTTTTATCTAATTTCCTCAAATTAAAGAACATATTATCAACATGTTGAACATCCACTTCATACTACTTTCTGAAGGGTCTATATGAAAAATTAAATTAAATTGGGTTCTCTCAAAAAATTAATATAAAACGAAGTAGATAATTTTTAAGGGAATAAATATGAAACTGGAGTTGAATAGTGTTTTCATTAGTTGTACTAAATGTACTTTCTATAAATTCTCAGAATTTTTATCTATAAAAATAAAACATTAATACCTATTTCATAAAATTGATATAAGAATAAAAGGAACTAATAATATAAAAGATAGTTGGAATGCTGTTTAGTAAGTAGCATTCATTAAAAAATAGTGTTTACTATCAAAGTTATTATAATAATTATTTGGGTTAATTGTGGGCAAGATAGTGGTCAGTTTTCCCTCTTTTTGGCATGGCTATCCTAGTACTTCTCTTAGTCAAATTTCACTATAAAAATTATACATCTATGTAGAACACGTAAGACCAAGAATTTCAAATTTGATTATACAAGTTCTGTAGCTAGCGTCTTGATGAAGAAATACTCTTCTATCTGCATATTGTAAATAATGTAAAACTTATTTTGCAATATTTCAATAAAAAGGTTTTTGTACTAATGACAAGTCTATGATAATGAGAGTAAAAGGGAAAATAATTAAGAAAAACAATGGAGTTTAATGGAGCTTAAGTATTTCTAATACAAGTCACTTTGCTTTAGAAAAATCTGGTATAATCTATTCTCACTGAAAGGTTGAATAACCTTATAATATGTGTCGAAAAGAAAAAATACATAGTAAATATATTGCAGCTATGTATTCAAATCCAGGGACATATCCATATATCAATATATAATGCATATACACACATTGGGATATAGAACAAATACTTTTATATATATTGCTGGATAAAAGCTTAGTGACATTAAATGTTCCATTCAATGAATATTTGATATTTAATGTAGACATTTATCATAGCTTCATTGATGCATTCTCATAGTTTTCTACATTTTTGGGCTTAGAAGAGATTTAATTTTCCTTCCTATTTTATGTTGTCTTTGTGTAAACTTGTGTGTGTGTGTGTGTGTGTGTGTGTGTGTATACAAGCTGGAAGACATAGATATAAGAATATGCATTTGAGAAACTAGGTAGGTATTTATATCAATATAAGTTAACTATAATACCTGATTTTTTGCTATTATCATATTTTATCAAATTAATATTGCTCTATGTGAATGTTTTTAAATATAACACTTCTCTCCAAAAGTTTAAACTAACTTAATTCTGTAAAATGTTAAGTCGTTAAGTAACTGAAAAGTTAATTAATATAACAATTTATTCTTAATCTCTCTCTCTCTCTGTGTTTCTGTCTCTCTCTCTCTCTCTCTCTCTATATATATATATATATATATTTGGAGTATTAACTTCAATTTAAGAATTAAGACTTTAAGAACATTTCTAAAATAACTCCAAAACCAAAGGTAAACCTTTCATTGTACCTAAACGTAATAATATCATTTATAATTTTAAGTTTTTAAATTGACTATATGGTCATGGCCTTCTTTTCCCTAGTTATAGCAAGTATTGCATATATACCTGGAATCCTTTAAACAAATAAAATAAGAAATATATATCCATTGCCACTCCTTCAAGCATGAATAACTTTAAAATACAACTTTCATAAAACTAGTGTCCATACTCTTTTTTATAATTTTTAATATTTTTCTTCCTAGAAAACCTTTAAATTAACATCTTTTGATAAACTGAAATTATCTCAGTTACATTTATTTTTCATAAATGGTGATACTCCTGGTGTTAAAATATGAAGAGGTTAATGAGAGAGAATTCTGGCAGAATAATAGTAAAAAAAATGCTTGAAAGATTGCATTTTGACAAATCAATAAGCTTTTGATGTCACATAATTACATTTTCATTTTGTCCTCTTCAGGTTGGTTATTAACACAGCAGTAGGCTGTCTGTCTGCTCTCTAAGCCAAGGTTAATAAACATGTTTACAACATGATATTTCTGTTGCCTCAGTACAAAATAAGCTCTGTTCTTATTTCTTGACATGCTCTTGTCGCCTTTAAAACATTAATCTCTGGGACTTTTGAAGTGGCAAAGGAAGCTAGGAAACAAATAGTATACCTATGTATATATATATATGCATAACTTTTGCAGGTTGAAAATTCTACAGCAGTTTATTGTCTTGTCTTTCAAGATTTTCTGATTTTCTTCAAAGAAATGTTTATGTTTTTCTAGGTAACCACTGTTCCACATTCAAATTTAGATGTGGAAATATTAATGTTTATAACATAGTTAACTATAAACTTCTACAGCATTTTAAAGAATTGTTTACTAACTACCTGTAAACCCAACTATACTTTCAATACAAATTAATTCATCACATATAAAGTAACATAACTGAGATGAACAAAATTAGTTTTGTCACTTTTTATTTAATTTTAAAAAATAAATTCTAATGAGGGTAAATTAATGGTGACTACTTAATTAAATTGTTAAATGTATCAACAAATACATTAAGTATATATAATTCAAATCAAATCAAAAATAAATTTTAGATACATGAAGCAAATGGATTAAAGTTTTACATTCTGACAAAAGAGAAGTATATTATTCACAGTGACTTTATTTTATTTACAATGAAAAGCTGTAGGTCAATAGAAACAATAAAAAATTACAATTATATTACACAAGGTATCGTAGAACACTCAAAATAATACTTAGTTGAAATTCAGTAAATAGCTATGAAAGATCTCTAAATATTATCCTCAATAGTTTTATAACTGATTTTTTTTAAAAGCATGTTTTTGAAAGTTTCTTAAAAGTTAGATTTTGCCAAGCATGGTAGCTCATGCAGGTAATCTCAGCATTTTCAGAGGCTGAGGCAGGAGGACGGCTTGAGTTCAGGATTTCAGGATCAGCCTGGGCAACATAGTGAGACATTATCTCTACCAAAAAAAAAAAAAAGTTAGTGTGGTGGCACATACCTGTGATCCCAACTACGCAGAAAGCTGAGATGGGAGGATTGCTAGAGACCAGGAAGACCAGGCTGCAGTCAGCTGAAATGGCACCACTGCACTCTAGTGTTGGAAGACAGAATGAGACCCTGTCTCAACAAACAAACAAACAAAAGGTTAGATTTTTGCCTATCACCAAAGATGCTTCATTACTTTTTAGACATAAATATATGTATGCATTACTGGACTTGACTTTCTGCTTCATTGTTGAGGCTATACTATTTAAAGCAATATTTGATAATAAAAATGCTTTTGAACCAAAGAAACTATGTCATGAAATAAGTCATAGAGAGTAATTTTTTTTCTACAGTTATTAAGAAAAAGAATTTCTAAGCACTATTTTTTTTTGTTCAGATTGGAAAATATCTTTGGTTCTTTTATAGGTCATAGTGATACAATCTTTATGTTTTACAAATTCATTTGATCATAAATTACAGTTAAAACAATTTTTTCAAAGAACATAATTGATTAAACCATATGTTTTAATTGAAATGTGAGACTATTGGAGGCTTCATCGTGGCCCCCAAAAAGATATGTGTACAGTGTGAATATTAATTTTTATGGCAAAGTATGTGATTAAGTAATTGAATGAAGGAGCTGGTCCTGGATTATCCAAGTGGGCTAAATTCAATTATAAGTGTTCTCAAAGAGTGAGACAGAGAATTATTAAACAGACACAGCAGAGGAGAGCACAAGGTAAAGATGGTCAAGATTTTATTGATGCAGCCATAAAACAATGAATGAGAACAGGCACCAGAAACTGAGAGATTCAAGAGGAGTTGCAGCCCCATCTACGCCTTGCTTTTGGAGTCGTGGCCTCCGGATTGTGAAAAAAATAAATTTCTGTTGTTTTAAGTGCCAAGTGTGTGGTAATTTGTTACAGCAGCCCTAAAAAACTAATAGATTAAACTAGCATTTTAACTAGTGATAATATTGAAATTAAATAATGATGTGGTTTATAAAATCTATACACTGAAACAATCACAGTATACAAGATCAATGGTAGTGTACTCAGTACACATTATAGTCCATTCTGCTTACAAAATGATAAAAGTTATTACTTGTAGAAGTTGAATCATTCTGCGTGTAAATTTTTTAAAACTTTAGTATAAGTTTTTAAGCTATAATTAATGTTTTCACTATAGAACTAACCTGACATTTTGGCTCCACTCTTGAAATGCGAAAAGTAAGACTTTAAAAGCATTTAAGAAATGATAAACACGAACGAGACTAATTTTAATAATGGGGCATTTTACTCTATAATATGAATTTTATGTTGTAGTCGAGATGTCTCAAATGGTTACAGTACATATTTCCTACCATTTTTATCAGTAACTCCAAATTTTTGACAGTTTTTCAAGAACTTAAAACAACGATTAGTATTTATACCTGTGTTGAGCCTTCCTTTCTGTTTCTTTAATAAACTGAAATATATTCAAGATCATTTGTGGTTAATAGAGTGCTTTTGAATTTTCACATGGTTCATAATATTCGTAATATTTGTGCCAACATCCACAGTGGGGTTCTGAGGCTGGGCAAGGTTTGCACTTTAAGAATGAGCAGAGATTCTCTCACTTTTATATAAGGCTGTAGAACAGCTTGAACATGACTCAGTGAGACAGGCCAATCTTCCTTGATATTCATTTGTCCTTGAGCCCTGTCACTCCATTTGTCAGGCTCGTCTCAATGGAAATAAGTGCCATTCATTTTTAATCGGTTGATATTACTTCTCTCACTGATAATCATCTAGAACGTTGTCTAACTACATGTGTTGCTATGGAGACCTTCTTGTATTCATCACAAATTTTTAATCTTTCAATACATGAGCAATAAAGAAGTACTAGCATTTTCCATGGACTTGCTCCCTCTTCATTTTTATTGGACAACATGAAATAGGATAAGTAAATTGCAGGATTAAAAAATGCATATAGCACATTATGTCCAGGAATTGCTCTGTGAATGAAGGAAATTTCAAAGCACAAATGGTTGCTTGTTTTGTGACAAGTTACAGCAGGCAGACAGCACATAGATTCCAGTACTGCAGCTTAATATGCCCAGCAATAATTCAGAAAACAATAGTTTTTGTTACTTTCACAACCTCTCTAAGAGAGTTTTTTAGATTCACTTGACTTCATAATATTGTTATTAACTTTTCAAATGTGCCAAGATAATAGGAAGCACAGTCCATTATATTTTTAAGCCTTCAACTTGTTTTTATTTTCTGCTTGGGTCTCCATAGCATTTAGTCATGTATTAATCAAATTATTCGTTTCTAAACATTTATGGACTGTTTTGAAACCTCATTCCAGGAAAACTTAAAGAAGCAAAATAGTAGAAGGCAATAGCCCTTGCCATAATTAAGCTAAACATAAAGACCTAAAATACACCAACAGAACTAAGAGCATATTAACATTAAGAGTATTATATAGAAAGTAAAAATCTAGAAAATATTATTATGTCACTGTATCAATAAAATGTAGAATTTCAGAAGAGGAAAATATCTATGTAATCTGTCACAGACACAATTGTTCTCAAGCAAGTGTTCTGAACACGGTTTCCTTTCTGTCTGAAGATTACTTAAAAGTTTTCTTAATTCTCCAGTATTCTCATTACTCCTCTCACTCTTCTTATTTATTAGCTCAAATGAGAAATAGAGTTTACCAAATAAGAACTCCATCAATTTCCTAATACAAAAATTTTGAATTTCCTCTAATATTCAGTAACTTTCCAATCACTTTCTGCTCTTTCCTGCCTGGCACCATAGTTCAATGTTTTTTAAACTTTGGTGCTCATCAGAATTGTTAACCAAAACACTAGATCCAGCCTAGGTCCTGCTGCTCACCACGCAGAAAATCAATCACTGAGACAATGAGTATTACCCAGGAAGATGGCTTTAATGGGGTGCTGTAGCAGAGGAGAAGGGAGATCAGTCTCAAATCCATCTCCCTGACTAAAATTAGGGGTTTATAATAGCAGGAAAGAAATACAACTATGTGTGAGAAAACATGAACTAGGGAGGGGTAAGGAAGCAATCACGAGCGATGAGGGGTCTGGCATCTCATTGTCTGGATGAGCTGATCTGGTGAGTTTATGTTCTTTGACAGTTTTTGGAGAACAAGGGAACATTTCGTAAGGAAGGAATTCAATAAAACAAATAAAAGCTTCAAGTTTTAAGACCAGAATGGTAAATTTCTATGTTTATCCAAAAAATCTGCCTATGGGACTATTGAGTCTGTTTCCGAATCACACGGAGGACTTGTTAAAACACAAACAGCTGCCAGGAGCGCTGGCTCACGCCTGTAATCCCAGCACTTTGGGAGGCCAAGGCGGGCGGATCACGTGAGGCTGGGAGTTCGCGACCAGCCTGACCAACATAGAGAAACCCCGTCTCTACTAAAAAAAAAAAAAATACAAAATTAGCCGGGCGTGGTGGCGCATGCCTGTAATCCCAGCTATTTGAGAGGTGGAGGCAGGAGAATCGCTTGAACCCGGGAGGCGGAGGTTGTGGTGAGCCAAGATCGTGCCATTGCACTCCAGCCTGGGCAACAAGAGCGAAGCTCCATCTCCAAAAAACAAACAAACAAACCAAAAAACAAATTGATTGGGCCTAGTTCTGGTATGAAACTCTCACATTTGCATTTCTATCAAGTTCCTCTAATGTTTTTTGGTTATAGAGAGATTATATATCAATTTTTAAACCATGCAATTATTTTTATATCTTTTATATGTAATATAAAATATGAAAAATATTTTGTTCATTGCTATTTCTGCATCCATAAGTAACTTTTTATTAATAAAACAAGACATCATATTGTAAAATTATTTTAATCAGTAAAAATTTGAAATTATTATTTTCAGATAAAAGAATAAAATATTTTTTACAATATGAGTGCATCTTTAATATTTCCAAGAAATAACATTTTCTTTATTTTCACACTGTTGTCCTAGTTTTCTTGCTTGTAATTTACTGTCTAGAATAGTATATTAGTCTAATTATAAAATATACATGCCTCTTTTTTTTGGCATTCAACCTGAAACTGTGAGCAGAATTCCCTAAAATTATCTGGAAAACAAAGTCAATGCTGTAATCAAATTTATTTTTTAAATAAATATTTGTGATATCTTCAATGTCACCAAAATAAAATCCCAAATTATTCAAGGGGAATTCTAGCTTCCATTGTAATGTCTTCCTTAGCCTTGCAATGAGAACTAACATCTACTTTTGAATTTCTGTATCTCTTTGCTGAGAAATCTAATTCAACATTTTTATTCATTCTGCTAGAATTGATGTTTACTTATCATATTGATCATACTGTGAGCCTCCTGAAGCCCAAATAATATGTCATATTCAGGTCTTTATTCTAGGAATATAATACCTCTACCACAGGATAGGGTACTATTACTGAGTTAATGAGCCAATGAATGAATGAATAGTAAAATAAAATTTAGAAAATACCAGGGAGAAGAAATTTAGGAGTCAAACAATAGAAACTTATCCAACCTTGCATCTTTTTTCAGTATTGGTGAGAAAAGAGACGTTCAAGTTACTGTATTGTTCTAATTATAGAAACTCAATATTAAAAATTAAACAAGATAAATTTATGCATTAAAATAGCTATCAGAAAGTCTGTATTTTATCACACATGTTAGCTATAACTATACGTGTTTATTTTACTTGCTTTTCTTTTACAACATTTTATACTTAAAGGGACTATTCTAAAAACAACTATCTTTAGTTTCCTTGGAAATACATTGTCAAAATCAAGCACTTATTTTTATTCGGAGTACTTTTCTTTATTGATGAATATTTTCTGTATGTGAAATTTGTGACCTTACCTAACAGCAATGGAGGTTGACTTGTGCTCACTTTAAGGACAATGACCTCAGAGTTTTAATGAGACTGTTCTTTATTTCTTATAAATTATTTGCTTCTCAGTACGGAGGATGCAAGGAGCTCTTCCTATTTAACTATGCTACATGTGTATTTGTAAAGATTGAACCTAGTCCCTTTTGCTCATTTTATGTCCAACTGCTTGCAGTGAATATTTCACAGAATTTTTTTAAAGCATATCTTTTCTTTTTAAAAACTAATATTTGTAAGCAGTATAATCTGCAGAATATATTTGATACCTGTTCTTTTCTCTGTGGGGAATATTGGACTCATTTCTATTTTCAATATTATTTTAGAAGAGCATAAAGATTTAGTTGAATTTATTTTATAAAATAAAAATGTATGAATATATTTAAAGAACAAGGCTTGTCATGTATGGAAATTATTAAAATAATTGTATTTTGTACTCATTTATATATACATGCCAGAGTTTTTTAAATGACATGTCTTATAAGTAGAAAATAGAGACTGTTATGTTTTTAAATAAAGCCATCCAATAATAAAGTATTTTTCATAGTTTCTAATTTAACTGTGAAATAGGAAATTCATAAAAAGTACAAAAACATAAGGAAACATCACTTTCTTGTTTTCTGTGTCTTTGTTAAGCAGACTCCCATGTAAAAAATATATGCCTTAAATATTGATACATATAAGATCTTTGTAAACTAAATAATCGTCACATTAAAGGGTCTAATATTTAATAAAACACTAAAATTTTATGTCTTTATTGAATTAAAATAAACATTTATTGAACATATTAAATATTTAATACACCTTGAGTGTGTCAGAACTGAAAAGTGACCCAAACAGAGATACTAATCTCAAAAATGTCATAATCAAATAAAGAAAATAGCAATGTGGAGGAGACATTGACTGAAGAAATGGTTTGCACTGATGAATTTTAACAGATTAAAAGTCAGTTTGAACTAAATGTTCCAATTTTTACTATCTTCTCAGTTTTTTGGAAGATGATTCTGCAAGTCATTTATGCTGACACAATACAGATTAACTCATAAACTACAACACTTTTCCATTTGTCAGAATACATAGGAAATATATTAGCACTTACAGATCTTTGCCTGTTCAAGTTGATTTTATATTTATTTCCACCCAATCATCAAACTTTATTTCTGATCTTTTTTTTTTTTTTTTCCAGAGTCTTGCTCTATCTCCAGGCTGGAGTGCAGTGGCGCGATCTCGGCTCTCTGCAACCTCTGCCTCCCGGGTTCAAGCAATTCTCCTGCCTCAGCCTCCCGCGTAGCTGGGACTACAGGTGCCTGCCACCGCACCCGGCTAATTTTTGTATTTTTAGTAGAGACGGGGTTCACCACCTTGGCCAGGCTGGTCTCGAACTCCTGACCTCGTGATCCACCTGCCTCGGCCTCCCAAAGTGCTGGGATTACAGGCGTGAGCCACTGCACCAGGCCTATTTCTGATCTTAATCTCATTTTTGCCTAGTTAAAAACAAAATCACCATCTATGATCACAAAGATTATTCTTAGAATTCTCAGTGTTCTGGGAATTCAAGATTGTATTAGAAGGGAAATTAAAAATCAAACATATGAAAAGCATAAAATATGTTACTTAAAATTTGCATTGTATTTTAATTGCCTAAGAGTGTAACCACCCAATGGGTTTACTTTGCCAGGGGAATTGCAATAGAGAAAGAGTAATTCATGTGGAGCAAGCTATGCGAGCGACTAGAGTTTTATTACTCAAATCAGTCTTGGTGAACATTCAGGGATGTGAGTTTTTAAGGAAAATTTTTGGCAGGTGGGTGTTTGGGAAGTGGGAGTGCTTACTGGTCAGGTTGGAGATGAAATCATAGGGGGTCAAAGTAAGTTTTTCTTGCTGTCTTCTGTTCCAGGGTGGGATCACAGAACTGGATAAGCCAGATTACTGGTCTGGGTGGTGTCAGCTGATCCATCAAGTGTAGGGGTCTGCAAAATATCTGAAGCATTGATCTTAGGTTTTACAGTAGTGATGTTACTCCCAGGAGCAATTTGGAGAGGTTCAGGCATGGCCCCTAATACCTAATTTCTAAATACCTAATATGTTAGTGCTACAAAGGCAGACTGGTCCTCAGGCAAGAAAGGGTTTTTTTTTTTTTTTTTTTCCCAGGAAAGGGCTATTATCAATTTTGTTTCAGAGTTAAACTATAAACTAAATTATTTCCCAAGGTTAGTTTGGCCTCCACCCAGGAGTGAAAAAGGAGAGCTTAAAGGTGAGAAGCAACATGGAGTCGGTTATGTCTGATGTCTTTCACTGTCATAATTTCCTCAGTTATAACTTTTGCAAAGGCAGTTTCAAGAGTATCCAGAGAAGCGTTACAGCTAGATAGGTATATGCATAGAGAGATGTAGAGACATATGTGAATAAGTGAAGATAACATGCATTTTCATATTTCTTGATAGCTTGTCTCAATAAATATTATTACTCTATTTTTAAGACGCTCATTAAACTGAAATATATTGTAAATTACATGTCCAAAGAAGACTCAACTTAAAAAGTTAATATTTAAGGTTACTTACATTTCCTTATAGTAGTTTCCTTACAAACAAAAATTCTCCTCATAGTGATGCTCACTTATATGAATTAATGAAATAATAACCTAGTAATTAAAGTTATTTTTGCTTACTTCTAAACAGTGTTAATGTCATATAGAGGTCATATAAAATGAAATAACTTTCATTACATGATTGAAATTCAATTTAACTTTCTTAAAAACCAATTCTGTAGGTTAAGACTGTAAGTTATGAACATTTAACTTATATTGTGCTTTTCCTTGGGAAAAAATCATCTGCCCTTTAACAAATTATGACTCTAGTCTCAATTTTATATTCTCGGCAACACCTACTTCTACAGATCAAAGTAACTATATATATGTTTTCAATTTTCATTTCAGAGGAATAAGGTTAGTAAAAGAGTCGTGTTATTAAGGCCAAATTGATGATCTGGATTGATATTTCTAGTGAAAATATCCTTCAGTAAACCTCTGTTTCTGGATAAGATGGAGTAGCAGAAAGATTATTCACCATCCCACTGAAACACTACAAACCAGAATATGTGTGTTTGTCTGTGTGTATCAATGGTTTTCAAAAATTTGACATTAGATAAATAAAGGTTTATGTTCCATGAGAGAATAAAATAATATAGGTATGTACGTATGTATGTATGTATCTATCTATCTATCTAGATATAGATATAGATATGTATGCACCCACTGTTGTTTCAATATAGTGAGTGGCAATAGTCACCAGGTTGCAGTGTAAATATGGGAAGCAAGGCAGAAACCAAAGTCTCTGAGTAAAGTAGAAGGATCTAGAGGTCTATGAAGGCCAAAAGAGCTATAGTTTGGATCACAAATGACTGGGAAGAGAGAGCTGCATAAAGAGAACTCAGAATATCTGGAGGGAGATCTGGGTGAATATCCCAGAGCTTCTCTTGCACTTGCTGCTGTTTCATTGGCCCTCTATATGCAATTTATTTTTCATGTCTTAATGTAATGTCTAGGAACTCTAGTACAGTGCTGAATAAAAGTGGGAAAAGTTGACTTCTAAGTCTCAGAAAACAGTATTCAATATTATACCATGAACTATGATGTTAGGCATTTCATAAATGCCCTTATCAGGTCAATGAGGTTGAAAAAACTATCCTCTATTTCTAGTTTGTTGAGAACATATTTTTTTAATTTTAATAAAAGACTGTTGAATTTTCTTAAATGGCTTTCTATATCTATTGAGGGGATCTTTTATATTTTAGTTAACATGGTGAAATACACATTCATTGACAAACGTTAGATGAAACTTACATTCCAGGGAAAATTCTTCTTGACCACAGTAAGTGTGTGTGTGTGTGTGTGTGTGTGTGTATGTGTTTTTTTCTTAGTCCATTTAGGCCGCTATAACAAAATATCATAATCTGAGTGGTTTATAAACAACAGGAATTCTTACAGTTCTGAGGGCTTGAAAGATCAAGGTACTGGCAGATTCTGCCCAGTGAGATATCACTTTCTGGTTCATCCATGGTGCCTTCTCACTGAGTCTAAATGGTGGAAGGGCTGTGGGGGCTTTCTGGGGTTTCTTTTATAACCTCACTGATCACATAGATGATGGCTCTGTCCTCCTGACCTAACCACCCCCCAATGGCCCTACCTCCTAATGTCTTTCATTGGGTTTCAACATATGAACTGGAGGAAGACACAAAAATTTCGTGTGTGCATATATATGTACATATATATATATACGTAATTTATAATTCTATATTTATTATATGAATGTATATTATACACTGTATATAAATATACAATTTCATTAGGTTTCAACATATAAATTCGTGGAAGAGATAGAAATTTAGTATATATATATAAGCTTTATGTATAACTATACACACATATATTAATTTAATTTGCTAATACTTTATTAAGAGTTTTGATCTCCGGGCCTCAGGAATATTTGTCTGTATTCATTTGTTAATGTCTGTCAGTTCTTACCATTAGGTTATGCCAACATTATAAAGTGTATTAAAATAATTTCTACTTTTTACTTCTGAAAGATTTCCTTATAAAATAAGTATTATTTCTTCCTTAAATAGTGATAGAATTTTGAAAATAAATTTTCTAGGCCTGGGATTTTATTGGTGAAAAAAAAAATTTAACAGATATATTTCCTTTAATAGTTTTAGGGCTATTTTCTAGCATCCTGTGGCAGAAACAGATTATTTATTCTAGTGCTTTCTTCTTTATAATGAAGATCTTTAAAGCCAAAAAATTGTCTATACACACTATTTTAACCATATCCTAGAAATTGTTATATATTGTATTTTTATTATCATTCAGCTTAAAATATTCCTTTATTTGCTTAGCAATTTCTTATTCAAAATAAGAACTATTTAGAAGTGTGTTGTTTAATTAACATGGTTATTGATGTATAATTTTTTATTGTTTATGTGAATACTAATTATAACTTATAATGTAGTTTCATTGTAGTCACATCAAATGTAGAAATCCTCTCCACTATTCTTTATTCTATAGCTATTGGACATACTATAACTGTAAACATAAAACCTATAAAACAATGCTAAAAATGTTGTTCCAAATATTCTTACATAGTTTAAAGAAATTAAGAGGAAAATAAGTTGCTTATATTCACACAGCTGTATAAATTGTTAATGTTCTTTAATTGTTTTTCATGGTTTCCCCCTTGGCATAAATTATTTTCCTTCATGGAAAGAATTTCCTTTAACCCTTTTTATAGTTCAGTTACCCTTCAACTCATTCTTAGTTTCCTTTACCTAAAATTGTACCTATTTTATCTTCATTCTTGAATGGTAATTTGCCTAATAGAGAATTTTTAATTGACAGTTATTTCCATAAGCAATTCAAATATTTTTCTGATGTTTTGTAGTTTCCATTGTCTTTCTGAGAAGTTTGCATGTATTAGTATCATCACTAATGTTTGTACGTGATATCTTCTTTTCTTTAGCTGCTTTTAATATTTTAGTAATTGTTAACTTCCAGCAGTTTTACTACAATGCACTTATATATGTTTTTTGGTATATTTGTTCTACTTATAGTTTGCTGGGCTACCTAATTCTGTAACTTTTTGTCTTTCCTCACATTTAAAAATCTTTCTTTTATTACATCTGATAATATATTTTTCTGCCTCATTATTTTTGTCCTCTTCTGCTGAGATTCCAATTACATTTACTTTAGACCTTTTGACATTGTGTTTCTCCCTTCAATTCTGTCAGTTTTGCTTCATATGTTTTGGAGCTCTCTTGTAAGGCATGGATATATTTATAATTTTTATGTCTTCCTGACAGTTTGACCCTTTTTATCATTATACAATATACTCTTTATCTAGCAATAATATTTGTCTGAATTTCTGTTATGTCTGATAGTATAGCCACTCAGCTCGCTATTGTACAGTGCTTTGTGGTTTTATCTGTCTTTTTAATTTTTTGTACTTTTAAACTGTTTCTACAAGGCAATCTAGAGTTTATATCATGTAAATAAAAATTAATTGTATCATTTTTATTCATTTCTTAAATATCTGCCTTTTGATTGGAGTATTTCATCCATTTACATCCAATGTCATTAGTTATAGGTGAGGATTTATGTTCGCTATTTTGTGATTTTATATGTGCGTGTGTGTGTGTGTGTGTGTGTGCGCGCGCACTATGTCTTTTCTCTTTGTCTATCCCTCTATTATTGCTTTTCTTTGTGTTAAACAGTGTACATTTAAATTCTACTTAGTGCGTGTGTGTGTGTGCACGTGTGTGTGTATTAGTTATTTTCTTAGTGGTTGACCTCCCCTGAAATGTTTAGTAATAAATAGTTGACAATCTCATTTTTGTTGTTTTTTTAAGTTGCTTATTTTGCTTAGTAGGCAATTATCTTGGCTATTCTTCGAGTTCTAATTGTTTCATTATTCTGAGGGGCAGGGAATAAAATCTGTATGAGCTTCTTTAATCTTGTCTAGACTGTTGGATTCTGCCTCATACAAACATGCTTCAGGCCTCTACCCATTCTGAAGTTCTCCCAATTCGGCTCTCTCTCTTTTTCTTTTGAAGTCATCCCTCGCTCACACTTACCTGATGTCATAGCAGTTTCAGATTTTGTTTTCTGATTCTTCTAGGCCAACAAGATCAGACAACAAAGTGAGGATTTCCGTTAGAATTGTTGTCTCACATCCAGTGGATAATGCCCTAAGGCAAAAAGACCTCAAAAGGAGAAATTTTCCAGTGCTTTTTCTTCATATTGTTTCTCCTCCACATTTCTCTGCTGTTTATGGCTCTCTAGTACTTATAGGTTATTGCACTCTTTGTAATTTTTCTAAATATTTCAGTTTCTACCTTTAGGAAAATTAGTCTGATAGGAATTCTCTATTGTGAAATTCAAAATAGAGTTTAGTGTCTTTAAAAACAAAACCTTATTACTTGGATAAAGACACAATACTCATTATTAGATTTGTCTAACTCCTATATACATAATTTATTTTAAAAAGGAAAATGAAGCGTGAAAGAAGTTTATTATTTTTCACATTAAAATCTACTGAATTGTAGGACCTGGTATTAGTGAGTATTTCTGCTCTAAAATGGGCAATTACAAAATATGGATGCGTATATGTTCCATTTGATCTACTACACATGTGATACCCTGAGGGACATTAACAAGCATAGACCAATTGGTCAATATAACTTGGGGAATCACTTGATAAGAACTTCTGTGTGCCCCGTAGTTCCATGCATAGACGTGGAAATGCTGATAGTGGTTTCCTATCAATATTCAGAGAACATTGAAATGTATTCTATTTAAATAATCATGGATATTTAGCACTACAGAAAGTGACGTGCCACTGAAAGTTTTAAGACTCTCACCCAAGAGTACACTCTAAGTAAATATTTGCAAATTTTTGCTCTTCCAACTTGTTTCCAGTGTACTGCATAACTTTTGTTTCTCCATTATAGAAAGAGTCAGTGCCATTAGATGAAATGTGTGTCTCATTTTAGGGAGAAACAATTTCTAGGGTGACTGCCGATGTCAATATAAATGTGAAATTAGTTCTTGTTTTGTAATGAAAAAAAATTAACAAAATCTTGCCAAAGGTGAAAGTAAATATGAAAACATATTAACAAATGTGTAGAATTAGTAGAATGACAGGATCCTTTTCCAAAGGTTTCATCATATATAGTGAAAGAGTAAAACCTTTCTCAGGCTGAAAGAATGAAAGGCAACTCAAATTACAAAGGCAAAAGCAGCTCTGCTGTTAATCAGGCTAGGAGAATAGGCCTATACTAAGCCAGCTGCATAGTTACCTTTGCCCTCACTTCATCAACCACTTTCATCTCATAATAGCACCCAATCCATAGTTAACTCTTGCTTCTTTTAATCACACCTTCGAAATTCAGACCTGCTTCCCCTAGGTCCTTCTCAGAATCTTTCAAAGGATACTCAAATTTTACAAAAGAAATTTCTTTCTGGTCCCTCTCATCAAGTGACGTTTTGCAGTTTTTCTGTCAGTTGCGCTTTTACCATAGACATGGTTTTGCAATAAATATAATGTTGCTACATTACAAGCTTATCTGGGGTAGTTTCTAGATGATTATGATTTAACAAGCATGTACGGAATTTTGTGGGGACGAGTGCTCTCCTCATAATGAGAAATTAACAAACACTCATCTATCCTAGGAAAAAAACCTTTCCAATTGGAAAAGTAACCCAGATTGGTGGGTAAAATAAGTATCTACTTTAGCAGATTAACAAAATCTAGCAACCTTCATTCCAGTTGTCTTCAAAAAGTTATAAAATCTGAGAAATTTAATTGTAAATACCCTAGTCAGTTCGCATAGAAAAGCATTATAACTAAAACAGAAATAATGCAGCAACAGTGGTTAAGAGCTAAGTTCTAGAGCCCAATTACCTGGCTTTCAAAGACTTATTACACCCACTTATCAGTTGTGAAATCTTATGCAGTTCTCTTGTCTTCACTGTATTCTTAAATTCAATTACTGGTAAAATGGAGCTAATAAACAATAATAATATATAGGTTCATTGTAAGGGTTAAATGAAATATTACATGCAAACCTCTTAAAATGGTACTTGTCTTATACTAAGCACCAAATTTGTCATCCATATTAAATGCCATAATAATAATAATAATAGGGTCATGGAATACTAAACTATTTTCCATCTTACATGTATACAGACTTCTGGTTCTATATTCAATAGAATGTATGACTTAGTACAATTCTCACTGGAATAAAAGTAAGTACTATATGTGTTCACCATTTTAACTAATGCACAGCACAATTGCAAACACATAGATAACACAAATAGGTGAATTTTGGGGGGGATTAGTTATTGGTTTTTATTTTCATTTCATTCCAATCTATTAAATTCTTCAGTTATAATTGACAGAATTATATATACTTAAGGCCAAAACTTGATATTTTGATACCTAAATACATTGTGAGATGATCACCAAAATCATGCTAATTAACATATCCACCACCTCAATAATTATAATTTTCTTCTTGTGTGTGTGTGGTAGTAACACTTAAGAAATATATTTGAATATGTATTAGTTGTCCTAGGATATTGTTTTCCTCCTTCTTGTCCTTTTTTTTTTTTGGTACAAAGTGAACATCATTTCTAGTCTCCTTATCTTGTTTGATTCCTACCCCAATTTTCCATTTCTATTGAAAATGTGAAGACTGGCCAGTAAGTGAATTGTTGTTTGAATTTTGTTGTGATTTACACAAAAATAAAAGCACATATTTATAATACATTGCAAGTTCTAAGAGATATTCATTTCCCTTCAGCATAAGAAATTGTAATATGTTTGCTTCCAATAAATTTCCCCTTTTTTGGTTTAAATATTAGTATCTATCTGTTAAATATTGGTAAAATTTCAGTGTTGAAATGTTTTATTACTTGGCTCTCCTTCTATAAGTTCCCTTTACTTTAGATGAGTCATATTCTCCCTATTTCCCGTCATCAGAAAAAAGGAAATCATTGTAGGAGATACCAGTCCACTTGTGGATTGACTATATATCGGCAGTGAGAAGATTTTCTTATCATTAGAATTATGATTATCATTTGGCTCCACTATTGATGCCATATATTTTTCCTTCTTTTAGGCCCAACACTACCTCTTAGTCAATTCTAATATTATGTACCTCTTTATATTCTTGGATCTTTTGAAAAGTTTATATGTCCTACATAGTTATCTTAAGGTCCAGCACATCATTTTCTGGAATTGATTATCTTAGCTATCCTTGCTTCATTGCCAGAGAGAATCCTATCTCCATAACCTTGGAAGGATGATTTTTCCATAAGGATGTCTTAAAATCTGTGTTTGTCCTATAGAACTTTTACTGCTTACTCTGTAACTATGGAAAAACTCATAAATCTTTGCCACACCTTGAGATTTTATTGGTTATGCATTTTTGCCCACTCTCATGTAGCTCTGCCGAGGGTATTATCTTTGAGAAACTCAGATGTCTCCACTCCTGCCTGCCAGCACTTATTAGCAAAACAAAATGACGGCCATTGTATTCTCACACATTCAACTAAACTATTTTCCATCTTACATGTAGCTCTACTGAAAAAGAATTCAGAAACAGGTCATAAGATAACCAAAAACAAAGCAAGGGATTGGGAGAGAGGTGAGCTCAGGACTCAAACAAAAGGGGGAAAAATGAAGAGCCAAGCACAGAGTAAATATATGGAACATTTGAGGAAGGTGTGCTAAAAACAAGTCATGATAAGAACTGAAAAGTCTCCATTAGATTTCATGGCTAAGAGGTGATAAGTGAGGATGAATAATAGGCTGAATGGATTGCAGTATGTATTCATAGTATCGTTTTCCATTCGCCTTTTCTAGAATTAGCTGATTAATGATTATCTTCATAAATAAATAATAGATTTCATAAACGTAGACAGTACAATGTCCTCATTTGTATGTATGAAGTATATACAAATAATAGACATAGAAAACTCACGTATAGTATATGTGCTTTGTTCTGTTTAATTTTAATTTCAAATCTCATTTAATTCGTCCTACAGTTCCCATGACTAAAAATTGATGAACCCATAATTTAAAGAAACATAGTGCCATCCAGAATCCATCTCTGAACTTCAGTAATCATGTGTAGTTAGACACTATATTAATGTAAAAACTGTTGAATAAAAGGATCATAAGATTGTCTCAATGTGACAAAAAATGAAGCTAGTAGGATGAAAATGATGTACAACAGACATATGCTTTACCAATTTATGATCTTTACTTGTTCCATACAGTGTTAAAGAATATAAAATAATTTAAAAATAAGGAAAGTTACATTAATATACAAATTTCAAAGTATTTGGCAGGGGAAAATGATATCTGTAATATTGGGCTACACATTACTGCCAAACCTGGATCGCTAAACACACTTGACTGAAGCTGCATAGTGTGTACTGTCTGTTCATTGAAAATAAGAATTTAACTTCAGGCTTAGTGTATCCTTCTTAACTTCTTAATCTTTTAAATTATTTATGTTTGCTACTTGGTTCCTGTAAACATTAAAGTCTATGTTTCCTAGTGTAGAGAATACTTTTCACATTAAAAAAAAAAAGTATAGATGAAAAACTTGCTGTGGAAGGAAGGTTAAACATCCAAGAAATGGGATCTGGGTCTATACAAGATGTCAGAGAGCAATTTCTTTTGTTTCTTCCTATTAAAACAACTATAATCCCTGGAGATGGTGCACAAGACAACCAAAGGAGAACTCTGAGAGCGTAAGAAAAAGTCAAGCTGGTTTGGGAACTCAAGGAGGAGCAGGACATCAGCAGATCTTTTTTCATCCCCCCTGTAAAAAAAAAAAAAAAATTACAGAAAGCCCCTCAGACTATGAGTTTACTGACCCTGCATCTAAGAGAAGGAATCCCATAGAACCAGTAGAAATCCCCCAGGAAACACCAGGCAATTTCTACATCACTCACAGGAAAAATAACTAGGAGAAGGCTGTCATTAAAAATAAGCATACAGGCCAGACGCGGTGGCTCATGCCTGTAATTCCAGCACTTTGGGAGGCCAAGGCGGGTGGATCAAGAGGTCAGGAGATCGAGACTATCCTGGCTAACATGGTGAAACCCCGTCTCTACTAAAAATACAAAAAATTAGCCAGGTGCGGTGGCGGGCGCCTGTAGTCCCAGCTATTCGAGAGGCTGAGGCGGGAGAATCGCGTGAACCCGGGAGGCGGAGCTTGCAGTGAGCCGAGATCATGCCATTGCACTCTCAGCCTGGGCGACAGAGCGAGACTCAGTCTCAAAAAAAAAACAAAAAAACAAAAAAACAAAAAAAAACCACATACAGGGGAAATAATCTCTTTATCATGACTGAGAATCAGTTTCTCCTTTGAGAGACACTGGAGTGAACAAATCCTCAAAAAGGGGCCCAGTCACAGAAAATGGTCCAACCCAGATAACGTCTTTATTCATTCTGGTTAAGACTTGTCTCTACTCAGAGACACCAGGGAAGTCAGATGTCACTGATAGGATGCCGCTTAGCCCTCCACCATCTGAGAGTTGCCAGCAGGCACCAGATTAACCAAACAGATAAAAATAACACTAAAAGGCTCTGGAAACTAAATTGTCATTTGAACCACAGCTCAAAACAGAAGGCCAAGATCATCACTGTGGTAAATGTAAATATACTGAATGCCTACCAAATATTTTTTAAAAAGAGCTAGCTGGGACTCAAAATCTCTTAATATAATGGGCACAATGCCTAGGATAAAGTAGAAAATAGCCCATCATATCCAAAACCCAGTAAATCACAACTTAAATGAGAAAAAAAAAATCAACCGATGCCAATACTGAGAAGAATAATATGCTAGGATTAACTGACAGGAATTTTAAAGCAGATGTCATAAAATTGCTTTAGCAATCGCTACAACTATTATTGATGAAAATAAAATGGAAAACATCAGCAAGTAAATGAAGTTATAATAAAATAAATATTTGGAAATTGTTACCATAAAATGCCAAGTTAAATACAAAAATTAAAACATAATACACACTAATAATGCACAATAAAGTATTACAATGCAATATAATAACAAAAACAAAAAGTTAAACATAAAAAAGCTTGCTCAGCAGGGTTACTAGCAGATTGAAGATCAGAAAGCATGAAACAAGCAAACCTGAGGACAGAAAAATAAAATATTCACCCACTGTTAAAAAAGAGAGAGAAAATTGACTATAATTTAAAAATACACAGAGCCTGAGAATCATATAGGAATAAGCAAATAATCAGTATTTGTATCACTAAATATCCATAATAATGTACAGTGAGATTAGGTCTGAAAGAGTATTCAAAAAAGCAATGTCTGAAAACTTGCCAAAAAAATAGTCAATTATGAATTTTAAATCTGGTAAAATTATTCTTCAAGAATAAAGAAAAAATGAAACATTCTCAGATGAAGTAAAACTAAAAGGATTTTTATCCTAGCAGACCTGCCCTTAACAAAATTGGCTAAAGGAAGTTATTCAAATTTAATAAAGGAAGCAATATTGAAACATGACAAAATAAACAAGGAATAATGGAAAAAGCAGAAATGTGGATGAATGCAAGCAATAGACTTTTCTTTTCCTGAGGAGTTTTTAAAATCATATTTGATGATTTAAATAGAAACTCTAACACAATCTGATATTTAATACAATAATATTTGAAAGTGGTGGAGATAAGAAGAATTAAGGGAAATGTGGTTTCCCTGTTTCACTCAAGTACTGAGTAAAATATTCAAACCAGTAGACTAATATAAGTCACATAGGTGTATTAGAAACACCAGGCCAACCTCTACAAAAATTACATTACCCCAAGAGAAATAACTCGGGAAAAGACAATCAATACCGCATGTTCTCACTTGTAAGCAGGAGGTAAACAACGGATACACATGGACATATGGAGGAAAATACTAGACACTGAGGCCTCCAAAGGGGGGGAGATTGGGAGGGAGAGAGGGTTTAAAAATTATCTCTTGGGTATATTGTTCACTGTTCAGGAGATGGGTACACAAGAAGCCCAAACCCCACCTTTATGCAATATATCCATGTAACCAACTTGCATATGTACCACCTGAATCCATTATATCTATGGATTCGAAGTGTGTGTGTGTGTTTACATAAAGAGATGCACTCAATACACTATAAATAAAGAAACTAAATCCTAAGTAATTTTCAGGTAACCTTCAGTAAGGCAAGGAAAGATATACAGGGAAATAAGAACCCCAAAAGATATATTTAAAGCAAATAACGGAATAGCACACCTAAGTGGCAACATACCAATAACTAACTTAAATGCCAATGATCTATGTACAGCAATCAAAAGATAGAAATTAACAGAGTGAATTAAAACAAAATTATACAGCTCTTACAAGAAAGTCATTTCTAAATCAATAAAACTGGTAGTATAAAAGTGAAAGGCTGGGAAAAAAAATGTAACATGCCCACGTTTTAAAAAATCAGGAGTACATCTGAACCAAAGTACAGACACTCAAAATACATGAATCAAAAATGAATAGACCAGAAAGAAAACGTACAGATAAATATAAAATTAGGTCTGTGGACTTCAAACTCTACCATGCTCCCAGCTACTTATTGATCTACTAAACGGAAAATAAGCAGGAATAAGCATTTTATGTATGAATAACACACTCAACCAACAGGAACAGATTGATATACATATAACACTCCACCTAATAACAGTAGAATACACATTTATATTTTTTCCAAGTGCCATAAAATATTCACCATGATAAAGTATATGAACCATAAAACAAATGTAAAGAAATGAAAAAAATTGGAATCACAGTAACAGAAGAGAAAATATATATTCAAAGAGAGAAAATTAAACAGCATACTTCTAAAAAATCTGTGGTTCAAAGAAAAAGTCTCAAAAGAAATATTTTTAAAAATGCATAGAACTAAACAAAATCAAAGGACTACATATGAAAATATTTGAGATATGCTTAAAACTATGTTTAGAGAGATTAGTAGTACTAAATGCTTACATTAGTAATATGAAATGGTCTCAAATCAACACTATTAAAATTAGGAAAAAAATAGAATTTCAATGAAATTAAAAAATGCTTCTTTGAAAAGTTGCTTTAAAAAATGAAGCTGTAGCCACACTAACAAAAATGATAGGGGAAAAATACATAAACTAATAATATCATATGTGAAACAGAGAATAGACCTAAACCTTCTACAGTCATTAAAAGATAATAGGTGAATATTAAAACAACTGTATTTTTCATAAATTTAACAGCTTAAAAGAAATGGACTTATTCCTTGAACTCCATAAACTACCAAAAGTTAGCTAAGATGAAATAGACAATCTGAACAACCGACAAATATATGGAATCTATAATTACATAGCTCAATCCAAAATAAATATAGAGGCTCAGGTGGTTTTACAGAAGAATTTAGCCAAAAGCTTAATAAAAAATTAACACAACTTTGCAATCTCTTCCAGAAAATAGAGGTGGAGGAATCACATTTGTACTTAATTTATGAGGCCATTATTACACTGATACCCAACCAAAGACATTACAAATAAACTTGCTGTTTTAGTCTGTTTTGTGTTGCTATAATGGAATACCTGAGACTGGGAAATTTATAAAGAAAAGAGGTTTATTTGACTCATAGTTCAGGCTGTACAAGAAGCATGGTGCCAGCATCTGTTTGGCTTCTGGTGAGAGCCTTGTGCTGCATCAAAACATGGCAGAGAAACTCAAAGGGAAAGCAGGTGCATGTGAAGAACAACCAAATAGGAAGAGGAACCTCACTTTATAAGAACCTACTCCAATGGAGACTAATTTATTCTCTGAAGAACGAATCCCATTTTGCCAGAATGAGGACACACAACCTCAAGGGGAGTGCTAAGCCTCTCATGAGGAATCTACCCCCATAATCCAGACCATCATCCCTGGTACCAACACTGCCACACTGGGGATCAAATTTCAACACGAGTTTTGTGGGAGGAAAAGTAAATCGTATATAAACCACAGCCACTACAGATTAATATCTCTCATGAACCTTATGTGCACAAAAATTCTCAACCAAATAATAGAGTCATCATTGAGAATGAAAGTAAGGTATGAATTAATTTGAAAAAAAAATGCCAAGCAAAAATAGACACAACAGGATGGAAGATCATAGATTACTCATCTTAATTACACCCTTTATGTAACTGAACTTTTTTTTCCCAGCAGCATTCATCTTTGCAAGTTGGGAGTGAAGTCATGTTATTAAAATGATCCATAAAAAGAGGCTTATAGATGGAATGAGAAACCATCAAATTGTTTCTTTATACAAATTCCACATTGTGATTAACACAAGAATCCTATGAAGAGCAAAACTCCTGGTCTTACTGATCACAAAAAGAAAATAAATTTACCACTTTCTGGGCATATCTTTCTAATCTCTGTCAAAAAAATAATGATGATTTTGTCATGGTACAGATACTAATTTCTGTGCAGCAAATAGTGGAATAATATTAGATGTTGAGGTTACTACTATAAATCAAAAAGTAATAATTGAAAGTCAGCCTTTATAAGCAGAAATCTTGAATGAAAAGAGTAATACATTTTATAAGTTAAGGTTTATGATAGTTTAATTGATATCAATTTACAATGATTAGTCTTCATATATTAATCATATGCTGACATTCAATATAATTATTTGAAGACAATCCATAGAAATCCATCATTTTAAATGTTGGTTAACATTTCACTCTGTAATTAATGTCATCCAGGCTGTACAGTTTGGTAGTTTCTCCTTCCATTTTTAGAAAACCTATGCAATATTTCTCTGTGTGTATGTTTAGGGAGGAGGGATTTCTGCAGATTCTTTCAATAGTGTCTAAGCCAGATTCAAACCACTTCTTTCCATTTTTCTCATTTCTGCTAACTCATACATAATCTCATTGTCAATTAACAGGTCTATTGACTTTTATAATACCAGTGACCCATTCTGACCCCCAAGGTTCCAACCAGTACCTTCCCAATATTTTCTAATCCTTGTGGGAATAGTGAACATTTGAAAATGTAAATTTGACATATTACCCCACTTTTACTAAATAGTTTTGAACTACTTCTCTCACTTTCAGAACACTTTTAGTCGTAAATTTTACATATCATGCAGAGGCCTACATGGCTAGATATTTATTACATCTGATTTTTGGCAAGCTTAGGAACCATTTGTCTTTCCTCTGTTAATAGTTCCCCAATTTTTCTTACAGGATACAGACATCTGCCATCGTAATATAATAGTTCATATGATTTAAGCTGAAAGTGTCAGATGTGACTTAGACTACGTTATCCATTTCATACCATCCCTCTAACCACAGGTATTTATTGAAAGATATAGCAGAAGACCCAAATAGATTCAATTCATAACAGTCCAAAGGTTGTTAGAATTTTCATGAAAGAAGATCCTTATTGTTGAGGTTCAGAACTGATGGAAACTAAATATCATGGAAGCCATCTTGTGTGAATGAGAAAGGAGCCAATTAAAAGTGAAGACAATGCAATAAACTTCCAAGCCAAGCAATTACAAAAGAGTCAATTCTTGGTTGCATCATTTAAATAGTAAATTCAATCATACCTAAATTTTTCAATTATTCAAGTCAGTTATATTTTACGTATGTATTTATTTATTTATTGCTAAGGGAAGCCTGATTTTGTTTCCATAACTAATAATTAAAATACCCTGTCTAATATTTATTTTTCCATTCTCCCCTGGCATGACAGGTCTCCTGACTTTTCTTTTTCACAGTGCCTTTTTGAAATCTGTCCCCAGTTTCTTAGTATTCTTCTCTTTAAAATATGCCTAATGAACCATTAATTTCAGTTCAATTATTATTTCCTCAGGGAATTCTTCCCTTAAGCCTTAAATTGGCAAGTTCTACTTTTAAACACCTCATTAGGTCCATAAATCACTCATTCAGAAACTTTTGAGGCTAAAAATTTTACATTGTTTTCTGTGTTTATCTGAATAGTAACTGACTCTCACACTAAAATATAAGCTGCTTAAGAGAAGACTATTTTATCTCTGGCCTGGTCCATAATTGGTACTCAAAATTGATAATACATTTTAAGTTCAGTTTATGCATGCACTATTCATTCTACTCATTAGGGTGATTCTGCTAGGTTTATATCCATAACCATTTTTAACAAGTAAACCTCTTTATCTTGCCAGTTGAATCAGTACCTACTGGCATCAATGAGCTTGTTTAAAGCAAAACAGTGTGTCTCTCATTGTTTTAATCATTTCATCCCAAAGTTATGTCCCTATTCCATACTGGCAATCATTCTTTGTATATTATCACATCTATAATGATAATCATTGCCTTACACATGATCAAGCCCTCCCTACCTTCCAACTGTAAACCATTTAATTGTACACTGAAAAACCACCATTCCATAACTATGTAACTTATTTTTTCTGTATGTTCTCTGAACTATAAAAATGCTTTCGCTTGCAGCAAGTAGTATGTTGGAGTTGGCCCATACTGAGAGCTAATTACTAAATTTTCAAACTCTCTGCAAGAGAATCATTATATACAACCAGTATTAAAATTAAACTATAGGGCACATTCAGCAAAGTTGGAAGATTAGGAAGCACCAGGAATCTGTCACCCCACTCAGGCAAGTACATAGGGAAAATCTGCCTGGAACTCTGGAGCTTATTAAAGTCTTGCAACTTCCAAGGAAAGATTTGGATTGTAAAGTGCGGTTAATTTTGGTCAATTTTAGCTCAGTTCAGCAGCAGCAACCAATTCTTCACACCCATGGTAAAGAAAAGCCCTGGACCTGATGGCTTCACAAGCTATTTCTACCAAACACTTAAAGAAGCACAAACACCAATCTTTCTCACACATTTCCAAAAAAAAAAAAAAAGAAAGAAAGAAAGAAAAAAAAAAGAGAGGGAGAAGAGAATGGAACAATGGAACACTTTCTAACTCATACTCTGGAGCCAACAGCATTGATACTAAAGCCAACGGTACTATTAAAAAAAAAAAACTACAGACCAGTATCCCTTATAAACATTTATGCAAAACTCCTCAAAAATATACTAGCAAACCAAACAGAATTTAGCAGCATATTAAGATAATTATAAAACATGAGCAAATGGAATTTATTCCTGGAGTGCAAGGATGATTCGAGATGTGAAAATTGATTAATGTCATATGCCACATTAATGGAATAAGGAAAAAATACATATGTTAATCTCAGTTGATGCAGAAAAGGTATTTGACAACATACAAGACACTTTTATGATAAATAGAACACTCAGCAAAATATAAATAGAAAAAAGATATATATAATAAGAGCCACATATGAAAAACCTACAATAAAATTATACTTAACAGTGAAGGACTGAAAGTTTTTGTGTAAGGTTAAGGAACAAGACAAAGATGCTTGCTTTCACCATTTCTACTTACATAGTATTGGAAATTCAATTAAGAGACATTAGACAAAAAAAAAATTAAAAGGCATCCATATTAGAAAGAAAGAAGTAAAATTATCTTTGTTGACAGATGATATGGTCTTACATAGATACAATTCTTATTTTTCCACAAAAAAATGATAAAACTGATAAATTCAGCAAAGTGGTAGAATAAGTCAACATGCAAAAATCGATTTCATTTCCATTCACTAACAATGAACAATCCAAAAAGGAAGTTTTAAAAAACTAATTTTATTTATAGTAGCATCAAACAAATAAAATACGTAGGAAGTAACCAATGTAGTAAAAGACTTATAGGATGAAAATACAAACATTGCTGAAAGAAATTAAATAAATAAAAATAAAATATTTTTTAGAGGACTCACACTTCCTGGGTTCAAAACTTACCACAAAGTCACAGTAATCAAAGTGGTGTGTTACTGATATAAAGACAGACATACAGGTAAATGGAATGGAATAGTGAGCTCATAAATAAATTCTCACATTTATCAGCAAATAATTTTCAAAAAGGATGCCAAGGCCATTCAATGAAGCAAAGACAGTCTTTTTAGATAATGTTGTTGAACAAACTGGATATCTATATGTAAAAAATGCAGTTGGACCCATACCTAACACTACATACAAGAATTAAATCAAAATGCATCCATGACCTAAATAAATGTAAGACCTAAAAGTACAGCTGTTATGAGAAAATATAGGGCAAATGTTTCACAACATTGGCTTTGGCAATGATATCCTAGATATCATACCATAGGCATAAGCAATAAAAAAAACTGGACTTTGCAAATGTCTTCTAAAAGTTGTGCATCTAAAAACACTATCAACAGAGTGAAAGGGCTACACACAGAACAGGAGAAATATTTGCAAATAATATGTCTATAAGAGGTTAATATACAGAATACATAGAAAATTACTAAAATTAAATATTTTTAAAAAACTGATTCAAAAATGAAACCTGAACTCGATTAGACATTTCTCCAAAGAATATATAAACATGACAATTAAACACATGAAAGATGCTCAATATAGCTATTTGGCACATGCAAATCAAAACTACAGTAAGATATCATCTGACATCTATTAGCATTATTGCTATCAGGAAAACAAAAGAAAAATAACAAGTATTGGCAAGAATGTGGAGAAATGGAACCTCCTGTGCACTTGTGGTGGGAATGTAAAGTGGAACAGGTTTCTTTGGAAAACCGCTTGGTCGTTTCTCAAATAAGTAAAAATGGAATTATATGATTCAGCAATGCCACTTCTGTGTATACAGCCACAAGATTCGAAAAAAAGGTCTCCTACAAATGTTTGTACACTCACGTTTGTAGCAGCATTGTTCGCAATAGTTAAAATGTATAAATGATGCAAGTGTCCATGGACATATGAATGAATACGGAACACGTGGTATACACACACAATGGAATGTTATTTAGCCTTAAAATGACAGGAAATTCTGAATATACACTACAACCTTGAGGACATTATGCTAAGTGAAAGAAGCCAATCACAAAAGGACAAATTTATTATTCTACTTACATGAGGCACTTAGAGTAGTCGAAATTACAGACAGAGGAAGTAGAATGGTGTTTCCAAGGGGCTGGGGGCAGAGGTTAAGGAAGTGTTACTGGCTAATGTGTATAGAGTTTCAGTAATGGAAGAAGAGAAGTGTCCTGGGGGAAGGATGGTGGTGATGGTTGGTTGAACAACAGTTACGAATGTACCTAACACCACTGAACTGTATACTTACAAAAGGTTAATATGGTACATTTTATATTACATGTATTTTACCAGAATCTAAAACATCCAAAAGTTAATAAATTATATAAGCTAACATTTAACTAAATTATATTAAAGACAAAGGAAATATATATTTACAATTCATAATTTCCTAATTATGCTACTTTTTTCTTTTGTCTATGCTATTATGGACATTTATACCTATTTTAGCTATATGATGAAAATATCTCGGCACGGCATAAAATTTCATATGCCAGTGTTGGAGAAGAGATATGAAGTTGTATGCTGTGTTATCAGTAGTTTAAAATGAGTCTTGGTAAGAGTATTTGCACCATAGAAATTGTTGGCAAACACTACAGGTTGGGGAATTAATATGTTATTTCTTTTCTCAAATGAGAAAAAGATGGTGGTGGCTGGGGATGAAAATAACGAGTATTAGATCTTAAACTGTGTCACATTGGTAGACTTTGCATCGTAATTTGGACTCCAAAAATAGAAAATATTTTTCCAGTATTCAAAGAGCATTATCCACTTCAGCAAAGAGTAACTCAGGTCACTGACAGAGGAATAAAGTTAAAACATAGTACTGAAGTTAAAGTAACTTTCTATTTAACGAAAATAAATTGTAGAATTGTGAAAGATATTTTAACGGTAAACCACTGATAAAATTTGACTCTGTGTTTCCATCCAAACTTCCTCTCCAATTGTAATCCCCGGGTGATAAGAGAGGGACCTGTAATCCCCCCATGTGGAAGGAGGGAGGTGATTGGATCATGGGAGCGGTTTCCCCCATGCTGTTCTCATGATAGTGAGTGAAGTCTCACGAGATCTGATGGTTTTAAAAGTCGCAGTTTTTTTCCTACGCTCTCACTTCGCCCTCCTGCCACCTTATGAAAAAACGCCTGCTTCCCCTTCCCCTTCTGCCCTGATTGTAAGTTTCCTAAGACCTCCCCAGTCATTCGGAACTGTGAGTCAATTAAACCTCTTTCCTTTACAATTACCCAGTCTTGAGTATTTCTTTATTGCAGTGTGAAAACAGACTAATAAAACCACAGATTTAATTACAATTTTTTTTGGAAATAAATGTAGGGATAGGCTGCAACTTAAATTATTGAACATGGTTGAATTCAACAATATTTTAGTCATAGATACAAGAATTTGGCAAATATCAATGTTGAGAATTAGTTGGCTGTATAAAATTTACCTTAAACAATATTGTTTATTTTATTACTATTTTTAAATTTCTTGCTAAATGTTATGTATATTGATTCAATTTATATTATATATGTGTATACAAAACTCTAATACTATAATGAAGCATAATATATAATATTGCATATTATAATACAAATGATACAATATATAATACATACTCCGAATAATATATGATATATTCACAGTGCTATTTTTTTTCAAATAATTTTTGTAGACAGAGGATCTCACTATACTGCCCATGCTGGTCTTGAACTCCTGGCCTCAAATGATCCTCCTGCCTTGGCCTCTAGAGTTGCTGGGATTATAGGTGTGAGTCACCACCCTGGCCATTTATTTACTTCTTAATCAGTCTCCCTCATTTATTAGAGCTTAGATCTTTAGTACACAGTCTATTAATCCACTCAAAACCCCATGATTATCCTAGGTGTTATTAATATTTAAAAATGGGAATTTCTTTGAAAACCCAGCCCTTCAATTTAATCATCAAGTGATCTTTTGTTCTTCTTACCAAAGGATTTGCTTTTTCCCCCTCATCCATTAATTATAGTATATTCTCTTGGTTCAGGAAAGATAAACTTTAGGTAAGAAAATTTCTATCTACTTCTAAAATTTTCATTATAAATGAATCTTGAATTTTAATTACCTGGTTGTTTTTTGTTCTTTGTTGAAATATTATTATATATTTTCATTTTCCTAGAATAAAACAGGCTTGACTATTACTCTAGATATAACATTATACCTAGTACATAGCTGTTTATGACTCAGTAAGAGAATACCTGGTGTAGAAAAGCATCTCACAAATATGTGTACTGACATATTCTAGATTCTAAGTAATATTTTTACAAAATTATATTATTAGTTTTGTATGCCTTTACACAAAATAAATTTCACTGGATACATACATACCTTTCTCATATGTATGTCATATTCGACTACTACTAAGAAATATTTTTAGAGAGGCAATTTTATTATGAAGATTTAAAGCAACCAAAACACTGCAAAATTTTGACCCATAGATACTATTTGACCACATTTTTAAGGTAATAATAATTACTAATGCATAAGTTTTGCCTTGGAGAAAACTGTTCTTTTAATTGGGCTAAAGTTAATTTCCATTTTTACTGAACTAGCTTTTATATAGAAATTAATCAAATATTTATATTTAAAACTATGTTTTCAAAGATTTCTGATTAGTGCAACTATCTGTTTTTTTCTTTCTTTCTTTTTTTAAATTTTTTTAGACAGAATCTTACTCTGTTACCCAGGCTGGAGTGCAGTGGTGCAATCTGGGTTCACTGCAATCTCTGCCTTCCAGGTTCAAGCTATTCTTGTTCCTCAGCCTCCAAAGTAGCTGGGATTATAGGCGCACACCACCACAGCCAGTTAACTTTTTTTTTTTTTTTTTGAGACAGAGTCTCACTCTGTCACCAGACTGGTGTGCAGTGGTGTGGTCTTGGCTCACTGCAACCTCTGCCTCCCAGGTTCAAGTGATTCTCTTGCCTTAGCCTCCCGAGTAGCTGGGACTACAGGTGCATGCCACCACACCTGGCTAATTTTTGTATTTTTAGTAGAGACGGGGTTTTGCCATGTTGGCTAGGATGGTCTTGATCTCTTGACCTTGTGATCCACCTGCCTTGGCCTCCCAAAGTGCTGGGATTATAGGCGTGTGCCACTGCGCCGGGCCTTGTATTTTTTTTTTAATTGCCCTCTTGGCCAGGCTAGTCTGGATCTCCTGGCCTCAAGTAATCTGCTGATGTTGGCTGGTCTTTCTTTTTAACATCAAATCACTATGGAAATGTTACCATTTGTGACCTTCATTATTGCCTATGTCTCCACAAGGATTTTATTTTCTATTTTTTTATTCTATCTCGTCAAGATTTCCTATGCTACTATTTGGTGATTTCAACCAATTTTATGGCCTCAAATAACAAGCTTAGGTTTATGATTTACACATGTAAACATATATCCTGTATTGTTTGTTGTGCTCCACATATCCTACTTTATTTTTGCAAACTCTAGTTAGAAATTTAATAGAAATCACAAATTAAAGTATTACTATAGGAAACCTTAGTTGTTTCTTGGCAAAATTCCAATTTTGTTCCTAAGTGTACCTAAGATAGAGTATTAATATGTTACCAAGTTTTACATTTCAAAATATAAAAATAATCTTTAATTCAAATCTTGTTTTAAAACTCACTCAATTTACTACTAGGAAGTATTGAATATACCTCCCCATAAATGTTTCAATGATTTACCCTTTCTATCACTTCTTCCTGCCCTCATTGGAGTCTTTCCTGGGTAACTGCCAGTAAGTCCTAACTATTGCATGTCCTCTTATTTTACTTTTGTACTATTAATTCTCCTCACAGCAGCCAGAGGAGCTTTATAAATATAAAAATAAAATATGCCTTCTTAAAACATTCTTATAGCCCTCTGAGATTTGGCTTCCCACCACCTCCAGCCTCATCTCTTCCACTGTTCCTCCACACCTCAATACACCTCAGCCATATAAGCGTAATTTATGTGACTTAAACAGAGTTCTTTTTCAATTGAACTTTCTATAGTTTCTAATAAAGTAATACTCCTTTTCTCAAGGTATGCTTTTTATAATTTGGAATTTAGCTTAAATAGTTTTTCTTAGATTTTGCCTGACAACCATACCAATGGATCATATATGTCAGTATTTCTATGTATTTTATAGACTAAAATTAACATCTTTGATTGTCTATGGTATTCTTTTCCCATTTGAATTTAAATGTATTTAAATGTCTCTTTTGTTCGAATGTGTAGAGTAGCTCCTCACTAACATTAGATGATCAATAACTATTTGTAGAATGAATAAATGTTTTATATTTAATAATCCAATAATTTCTACATGGTACATTTATAAATCTATGTATTTTATGTACATTTAAATTAAGCATCATTATATTGAGTATGACTATGCTTTCACTATATAAATTCTAATTCACTAATGTTTCTCAAATGAATGCTATCCTTTGAGAATTTTCAGTGCTTCTACCCTTGTTTAATCTATTACTTCTTTATTCCTAATGAAAGAAGTAATAACCTTTTTACATAAACTGTTTCTTCAACAACATCAATCTATCCAATTTATTATTAGACAAAGAGCTCCCAAATCTCTAGTGACACCATTTTCCACTGCTTACAGGCCTTTAACAACTTTTCATCCGGTAAAGCCGGTGTGAACTACCACTCCGTCAGACAAAGTATTCTGTATTTTTGAGTTAATTTTCTCTCCCAGATTTATATTTCCTTATTTATTTCCACATTATTATGTACCAAAAAAGTCTTGCTTACATTCTATTCCCTAAGCTGTTGAGTCAAATCTTTTGATTTTGCATCTGTGTCTTTTCCTGATGGCACTGGATCTTCCAGCCTCCCTCGGGCTTACTCTTCTGGAGGCTGCACATTATTGAACAATCATTAGGAATGTCACCATTTCCATGAAGGTTTTTCCAATCTCCTTCAACAAGATCAAACTTTTGTCTGTAACACATAGTAATATTGTACTTCATTTTGATTCTCACCTTATCTAGTCTTCTATTGTCTTCTGTGTACTAGCAAAATCCATGTGGATATAGAGTGTTTCACTAATTTTTATTTCAGTTCCATTACCCTACACAAGAAATCGGGAGAGAATAGCACTGAATACATACAAATTGTATTTAATTAAAAGTTTCGTTTAGTGTTTCTGAATTAGAAATAAAAATTGAATGAGTGGTATTACCTCCACAACAAAGGTTTAATGTCCTAAATTCTTAGCATATTTTAGAAAGCTTTGATTTTTTTTTTAGTAATTTAAAGTAAAATTTACTCTTTATTGACTAGAATGGTAGGAAGTGAATTGTAAAATCTAACTTATATGAATTCATTTTCAGAGTACTAGTATGAAGGTTTTTAGAAATCAGACCTTAGCTTAGTAGACAATCTAATATAAATGTTTGTATTTTTTATTTTTTTTTTCAAATAGATTAAAATAGCGATACACCCACATGATTAATTTGGCAGACTGGAAAACATTGACCTAATTGGTACTCTTAGTCATTAGGAAGCAATTCCTGGCTATGTGCATGAAACATCAGCTTCATAGTATGTGTATGTGTGTATACAGAAACAACTTAATATTGATCATTATCCAAAATGCAATTAAAGTAATAAAAAACAGTCTAAGATTGTGTAAGTAAAAATGGGTTAAGGTTGACAGAAAAGAAATAAAACTGGCAAAAGTCAGAAATGTTTTTCTACTAAATTTATGAGATAATATTGTTTGACCATTAAAAATAACTCTATATAGAATACTAAAAGATATGCTGATACAAGTAAATTAATAATATTTTGTTTAGCTTTTTTGAAAGCTCCTCAAATTCTTTGATATCTATGGTTTTGCTGAGACAGGGCTAGAAAACTTAGAAAATAAATAAAAACAAAATATATAAATTTTAAAATTGTAAAAGTAAAAGCTTGAAATTCATCTTTACTGACATTGATCAGTAAATTTTATGAATAATAAATGTGACAGCATTAGCAATGTATTATACTTAATTTGTGAGGCAATGCTCTAAATACCATAAATGTATAACATTAATTCTCAAGACAGATATATAAAATAAACTATTCTTTATTTTGCCTATAGAAAAGCTGAGATATTCAGTTATTTGTCCTATTAAATAATTGGAGGTAAGCAAAAGTTTAAGAAAAAATATTATTTTAACAAGTATAATATACAAGTGGTATAATCTGGGTTGGAAACACAGAGGGAATTAGGAGTTCAAGAAGTTTATTGATGAACAATGGTCATGAAAGTTAAAAAAGAGAGAAAGTAGATTAGGCATGACACGATCCAAAAATGATACAGATTAGATATCTGTGAAAAAAAAATGGTGGAAGGTAGCAGGAGTGAGCAGAGAAAGCCTTAAACTTTGATGTAGATATGTCAAAGTCTGGCTAACTCAGTAGGGAGATCCAAAGCTAAGATTACCATTTAGAGGACAGTTCCAATTTGAGCATAAGTGACAAAGCGAGAATATCTGCACCCTGCCCCTGCATTGCCTGGAGGAGACTGCATCTGAGAAGAGATTGACCTTAGCTTAAAAGGTGAGTTAGTTCTGAAGGCTGTAACAGCTGGAGGTCATCAGCGAACTTCATTTCTTGCAGTTGAACAGCAAGTACTTTCTGGTAGTACACTGAGTTTTCTAAAATTTTTTTCATAAAAAGTGTGGATAGTAGCTTCAAAACAATAAAAGCTTAAAATGGAGCTAGTTGGATCAAAAATATGCAGTTTTCTCTTCAAATAAGTTGATTCAGCTGGATTTTTTTTCAGTTTAATTTTTTACAATTATATTTAGTTTGCTAAAAGCAAATAGAGACATTTGTCATTAAATTCAAGAACTTGGTAGTTGTTATCCCAATTACCACAAAAAAGGGAAAATAAAGAAAACTGAAAATCAACAACTTTTCTTGGACATATCAGAGAACAGGATTTAGGAAAACACCACCCTAAAATCTAGAGAGACAAGTGCATCCAGAGAGGTGTAGCTATCTAGATGTGCTCAACTGAAGGAGAAGATACTGGAACCATAAACTAGGAAACACTCTAAAATGGTAATTTTGTGAGATTCCTTGGGGATTTCTGGGAGCAAAAAATCCTGGGGCCACAAATTTAAATGAGGCTCATATTTCCATTCTCATGGAGTTTTCCTTGCAGGAATATCACTAGGTTCTCATGGTCAGGATCCGAGAAAAAAAAAAAAAAAAAAGGAACCCTCCATGTCTTGGCAGTGGAAGGAGAAGAATAATCATTGTGAAACATTCCCAGAGTCTTCTCCTTAACAAAGTGTATTCTCCAAGGGAATGGAGATTACTAGAGTGCAATTCTGAAATTTCAACCAAAGAAGGAAAGAAATTGATCCCCATTCTGGCCACATCCTACCTTCCAGTTGTGACTAAGGAAATAAATGAACATACTCAAGTCAGATCTTCAATAAAAAGGACTGTGAATGCTGCAATCTGGAAAAAAAATAATAGGGAGGAGGGAGAAAATAGACCATTGAAGAAACTCTTGTGAATGTCACAACTACAAAATCCAGACACAGTATAAAACTGAAATTTAGTCATGAAGTGATGGGATACACTATCTCTCCTAAACTTTACAACCTCATCAAGAAGACTTTAGTGTAATAATAGTATTTTACCACAGAGACTAAAATAGTGTTAGGAGGAGCACATAAGTAACACAAAGAAAATAGGGAGAAAAATAATGGAGGAATTTGAAGCATTTCATATCTTTTACTTCATTAAACATAAAGCACAGCCAAAATCTCAGTGAGATTTTCATAAATATTTATACTAAAGATCTACTCCTCTCTTTTCCTATTACCTGATATAACATATCTAGCTTCCAAAAATATGATCTATTAAAAATAAAAGTATGTACTATTAAGATACAGTGTAATCATTACAGCCATACTCAGTTATGCTCAAATTATTCTAAGGAAATTAAGTTACTATGATCAATATGTTAATGGCTATCATGGAAAAAGTACATTTTATTCAAACTGCATAAAACCAAAGACCAACCAAACATTTTGAAAAAGAAGTCAGAAGAAAAGCACAACCTATTTATAGTGAAGCAAGGATGAGAAGTACAGTGAACCTCTCATCAGAAACTATGGAAGTAAGATATACTTAAATACAGCACGTGTTGAAAAAACAAACAGCAAACTAGAATTGTATAGCTAGCTAAATTATCTTACAAAAGTAAAAGAGGAAAGAATGATTCCCCTAAATCATCCAAAACTGAAGAAGTTCATTTCCTGGGGACTTGCCTTGAAGGAAATGTTAAAAGATGCATTTCAAGAAGAATCAGTAAGCTGGATCTAAATTAAAAAAGAATAAGCATCACAAAAGAGGAGATGAAAGTAAAATGCTTTTAAAAGTTTTTTTTTACTCAATTGATATAAGAGTTTAATAAAAGATGAATAGCACTGTATTAACAAGTATAGTTTACCTATAAGTGAAATGAATGACAGCAATAGCACAGTGATAGGAGGGAGGTGCTATAAGGTTATGCCATATTATAAATACCCTGTTATACCCAGAGCACGTGTAAAGCAATATTCTACTCTCTGCTTCAATCTTTTAATCTTTTAGATTTTCTGTATAAGTGAGATTATGCAGAATTTGTCTTTCTGTTCCCTGGATTATTTAACAAAATATCCTGCAGGTTAATCTATGTTGTCAAAAATAACATAATTTCCTTTTTTATAGGTGTTAAGTATTGCATTGTTTGTACATAACACATTTCCTTTATCCATACATCCATTGATGGACACTTATGTCACCTCCGTAACTTGGCAATTGTGAATAATGTTGAAATAAGTGTGATCATGCAGGTATTTTACACATTCTAAAAACTTTTAATTTGTGCACTTATACCACTTCTTTATTTTATATTTTATAAATTTATGGGGTCAGTTGTAATTTTGTTACTTGCATGAACTACATAGTGGTTGGTATTGGTGGGAGGTATGGTATTGGTATGAGATGGGGAAAAAGTGAGGTGTTGAAAAAAGGGTATAAATTTAAAGTTTGACAGGAGGAATGTGTTTAATTTGCTAAAAGCATAGATTTTATACATTCACACCTGATACCATTTGACTCTGTGCCCACACGCAAATCTCACCTTCAGTTGTAATAATCCCCACATGTCGAGGGCCAGACCAAGTGGAGATTATTGAAACATGGGGGCATTTTTTTTTCCTCAAGCTGTTCTCATGATACTGAGTGATTTCTCAAGAGATCTGATAGTTTTATAAGGGGCTTCCCCCTTGGCTTGGCACTCATTCTCTCTCCTGCTGCTCTGTGAAGAGGTGCCTTCTGCCATGACTGTAAGTTTCCTGAGGCCTCCTCAGCCATGTGGAACTGTTCATCTATTAAGCATCTTTTCTTTATAAATTACCCAGTAAGTAGTGGGTATTTCTTCGTAGCAGCATGAGAGCAAACTAATACATCACCACAGAATATAAGTAGTTGAGGTGATGGATACGTTAATTAGCTTGATTTAATTTTTCTACATATGTCAAAACATCATATAGCACCCTGTGAAGATATACAAAAAAAAAAGAAAAAAAACAAAACATGATATTATGTTGAATAAAGAAACACGCTTTACATATAAAGATTCAGACAATTCAAAAGTAAAGGGATGGATAAAGTTATCCTATGAAAATGCTAATTATAAAAAGCTGAAATAGCTATATTAAATTTCAGACGAAGCACACATCAAAATAAGGAAGATGGCTGGACACATTGACTCACTCACACCTGTGATCCCAGCATTTTGGGAGGCTGAGGCAGGTAGGTAGATAGCTTGAGCTTAGGAGTTCAAGATCAGCCTGGGCAACATGGTAAAACCCCATCTCTACAAACAATACAGAAATTAGCTGGCATGAGGGTACAGGCCTCTAGTCCCAGCTACTAGGGAGGCTGAGGTGGTAGGTGAAAGGATCACATAAGCCTAGGAGGTTGCAGCTCCAGTGAGCCATGATTGTGCCACTGCACTCGAACCTGGGTGACAGAGTGAGACCCTGTTCCCCCAAAAACAACAAACAAAAACAAGGAAGAGTGTAAGGATGAAGGTGAGCATGAGCATTACATTATGTTATAGTAGTTAATTAAAAAGATGTAATTCTTACTGTATATGCACCTCTATTTGTCAGGGTTCTCTAGAGGGACAGAACTAATAGGATATATATATAAAGGGGAGTTTATTTATTAAGATATATATCTTAATAAGATCTATATTAATATATATTATTATATAATTATATACTATTATTCATATTATTAAATATATATAATATATTAAATATATAATATAGTATAATTGTATAATATTAACAATCTAATTAATATTATATAATTATACTAATATATAATATATACATTTAATATATATTTGATATATATATGTAAAGGGGAGGTTATTAAGTATTAACTCACACAATGACAAGGTCCCACAATAGGCCATCTGCAAGCTGAGGAGCAAAGAAAGCTAGTCTGAGTCCCAAAACTGAAGAACTTGGAGTCTGGAGTCTGATGTTTGAGGGCAGGAAGCATCCAGCATGGGAGCAAGCTGTAGGCTAGGGGGCTAGGCCATTTTAGTCTTTTCACGTTTTTCTGCCTGCTTTCTATTTTAGCCACAGTGGCAGCTGATTAGATGGTGCCCACCCAGATTAAGTGTGGGTCTGTTTTTCCCAGCTACTTGACTCAAATATTAATCTCCTTTGGCAAATCCCACACAGACACATTCAGGATCAATACTTTGTATCCTTCAATCCAATCAAGTTGACAGTATTAACCATCACACCACCTAACATTCAAGTGTCAAAGTATGTAAGATAAAAACTAATAAAACTGCAAAAAGATAAATCTGTATTTGAGGAGTTAAACATCCTTATTTTACTAGTTGATAGATAAAGCAATCTGAAAATCAGCAAAGATACACTTGACCTGAATAAGACTATCAGTCTGATTAATCTAATTGAAATTTATAAAATAATTCATCCAATGAAATTAGATTATGCATTCTGCTCATACTCACATGGAGCATCCACTGATATACACTGTATTTTGAGCCATAAAGTACACCTTAACTAATTTTAAGACTAGAAATTAAGCACAATATGTTATCGGAAGACAATACAATTCAACGGAAAATCAATAAAGAAAAATTAGGAAAATTCCCAGATACCAGGAAACTAATCATCACACTTCTATATACACCGTGGGTAAGGGAAGAGTCTCAAAAAAGTTTTTAAAATTTTAAGAAAATATAACATTGAAAACATAACTTATCAAAACAAATTTGGATGCAGTGAAGATAGTGCTTAAGAAAACATTTATAGATTTAAATGCATGTATTAGAAGAAAAAGCCTCCATCTTAGGAAAGAGAAAAAATACAATTTAAGCATAAGGCAAGCAGAAAACAGTAATAGAATTAAAGCAGTAATTGATGGAACTGAAAACAGTGAAACAATAGAAAAAATCAACAATATCAAAAGTTGGTTCATTGAAAAGTTCTATAAAGTTATTAAATCTCTAGCCAGGTTAACTAGTGAAAACAGAGTGGGTGAGGCACAAGTGAAATAAATGTGATATCATCACTATTGATAACACTGATTCCAGGAACATTAAAAGATAAAAAAGAAATGTGAAAAACTCTATTCCCACACATTTGATAACATAGATTATACAGAGATTCAAACTACTGAAATTTACACAATGAAAAGCAGGTAACCTGAATTGTACTATATAAATGAATTAAGGAAATTGAAAAAATAATTTAAAACCCTCCAAAAAATAAGTACCAAGCATAAGGTGGCTTCACTGTTTAGTGTTACTAAACCTTTACAGAGACCCATTAGCAATTCTTCACAATTCTTTCCAGAAAATAAAATCAGAGGGAAATTTTTGCAAGGTTTATAGGCCAATATTATGCCAATACTATAAATAATAAAAATATTATAAGGAAAATTCCATATGAATATCTCTCATGAACCCAGACAGAAAAAGCTTCAATAAAATAGTGAAGTCAAATCTAGCTATAGAAGGAATTATGAAAGATGACCACATGAGATATATACTAGATATGCAAGATAGATTAGACACTCCAAAATCAATGTAGTCTTCAAAATGAAACGTTTAAGTAAATATAAAATTATCATATAAATTGACATACAAAAAGCATTGCATTGCATAATCCAATACTCATTATGTAAAATCTCAGCAAATTAGAAATAGAGAGAAACTTTCTCAAAATGATCAAGAACATCGACTAAAAAGAAACAAACTCCTGACATCATATATAATTGTGAGAGAGTGGACACTTTACCCCTACGGCTGGAAACAGGATGTCCTCTATTTTCACTTCTATTCTATATCATGCTCCTGCAATAATATGAGTTAAAAATAAATTATTAAAATATCTTTATATTTTAAAACTAAATAAATCTATCTTTATTCTCAGGTGGCATGATTGTTTATGTGAAAAAGCCCAAAGAATCTACAAAGCACTACCAGAACTAATAAACAAGCATAACAAGATATCAGGACATAAGATCAATATACAAATGTCCATTTATTTCCTATATACCAGCAATGAAAAACTAAAATTTGAAATAGAATCATTATTTCCAATAGTAACAACAACAAAACTCTGAGGTACTTAGGTATAAATCTTTCAAAATATAGAGTCATTGGTACTACCATAATAATTTTGAAAAATATTTAATGACTTGTGTTGACAATCCTGTGCTATACAGACAGCAATTTATAGACAACCCTTGTCCTATAACAAATATCTTGTGTGGCTCTTTGTATTAATCATTACTTTTTACTCCAAACGTTGATGATGATTGACCTATTTTCTACACCCATCATTTTGCTTTTTTAAGAATATCGTAATTTCTAGAATGCACATTTTGGATCTGGCTTCTTTTACTTAAAAACTCATATTTAAGATTCATGTTTTTGTTGTGTGAATTGATAGCTTATTACTTTTTATTGTTAAATAGTATTCTATTATTTAATGAGTTGTTCAATCTATGGATATGATTTATCTCTCCATTTATATATTAATCCTTATTTGTTTCTTTCTGTAGTGTTTACACTTTTCATCATTAAGATTCTGTGTATATATACACTATGTATGTATATAAATACATATGTATTTCCTTTTTGTTATTGCAGTGATAGATATGTTTATATATTCATGCTCTTGTATATATACTTACTATATTTATATATTTATATTATATTTCTATGTATGTATTAATTCTATTGATATATTTTAAACTGTAAATTCATATTTTTCATTGCTAATATAGAGAAAACAACTATATTTTGTATATACTAAACTTACTTAGCAGTTCTACAAACTTTATTTGATACAGTTTTGGGGATTTTCTACATAGACAATCATGTTACATTCAAATAAAGACAGTTGTATTTCTTCCTTTCCGATCAGTGAGATTTTGTTTTATAAAGCCTTTTTCTTGTAGAGTTTATGTCCGTAAAGTTGTCCATAATATTTCCTTATTATCTTTTTAATGTTTCTAAAATCAGTAGTGATGTCTCTTTTACTTCTGCTTCAGTTAACGAGAGTTTTCTATTTATGTTTCATACCCCTCCCTGGAAAACCAAAGGGAAAAAAAAACAACATCATTGCCAAATTTTTTCCCTGTGTTTTCAACCAAAGATTCTTTAGTGCTATAGCAGAAGTTAAATTTGCTTATACAATAAAATATTGTGAATCTCGGGAATTATTTTAGTAAATCATAAGAAATTGCATTAATTCAATTGGATAAAGAACTGAATTTAGGAGTTTGAAAAGTAGTCTCAGTAATATCTACAGATTGTGAGAAAAGTGAGCAGAAAAGTGAAATATTTCAGTGGAATATTTCATGTACTATATATGTGTGCATATGTGGATTTTTTAGTGATCTTTGAGGAATATTGATAGAGAATAGTGTATCTTTTAAGTACATGTTTTTCTTACCTAAACATCTTGTATTTGATATTGTTCAGAGTTTATATTTTGTGGGTTTCAGTTTTATCAAAGTTAAAACCTACACAATGTTTAATTGTAATTATATATTTACAGATTAGTCTCATCTACTAGATTGTAAGAGTCTAAGAAATTGACACTATGTTTTACTTATATTTGTATTCCTAGCACCTGTCATGATGTTTATGAGTACAAAATAAGATTAATTAATGTATTTAGATATTTTTGAAACAAAACATTTTTATTGTATTTTTAATGTGGTAAAGAACTATAATCACCACTGCTTTCCAGGGATTTATATAACATTAGCCTTGCAACAATGCATTCCTGTATTTAAAATGTGTTTGCTTTTTTTTTTTTTTCCTTCTATGCATAGGCTGCATAGAAGCCTATGCAGCAAACCAAGCAGGCTTGCGGTACTGATTAAAAGCTGGGCACTGCTAAGAGCACTCTTCCTATTTTAGCGCTCTAGGTCTTAAACTTATTAGCAGAGAAAGTGACTTAACCTCTCTAAGGCTAAGTTGTGCTTTTTGATTTTCTATTTGTAAAATAGAACAGTTACAAACCTTTATATTTGTGAGAAATAAGCCAATTTGTGTAAGTAAAGTCATAGGAGATGAGACTATAAAATGTAAATAATTCATTTTCCTTCTTCATCTCCCCTTCTTTCTTTTTTCTCTCCTTTTGTTCCTCCTCCTTTTCGTGATTCTCTCCTCCTCCTTATTTTCCTCCTCCTTCTTCTTAGTGTCTGCAAATTCAAATTATTAGATTATTATTATCAAGAGAGTACTAAAATATTCCATTAGCTTGATATACCTTCAGGATAAACCTGCACCCAGTGAACTTTGTTTAGACAGAAAGTCATTAAACAAGTGTGACTATATTAGATATAGAAACCAAGTTTAAATTGGTTCAGAACAAAAGAGAATCTTTCTCTCTCTCTCTCTCTCTCTCTCTCACACACACACACACCCCAAAAAGTAAAACCCAGAAAATCAAATTTTATTATAAGCATAAAGAACTCCAGGTCAAAAATGTGGGCTTTGCTTTTACTTTGCCAGATACAGCAACAGAAAAATCATCAGGCTTCACTCTGAATTGTGCATGTCTAACTGAGGTAAGCATTGTTTCAGCTCTGAAGGTTATAGACCATATGACCTTATGACTTCCCTTTGTCTCTCGATGCTGATGTTCTAAGCTGGAAAATGACTTCTTAGATCACAGTGAAAATTCTCATTTACCCATATACTCCTCATATATTTCTTCAACAGATTTTTATTCTTAATATTATTTTAGTATAAAGAATCCCTTCTTTGTTAACTACTTGTTAATTTTGTCATATTACACAAAATATAAACATATAAAATATCCTTCTATATTTTATATAACAATCCTCTTGAAACAATTGTTATAGAGCTGGCCTATATTCTCTCATGTTTTCAAGATATTCCTAGGACATTTCAAGGTATAGATAATGATAATGTGATTATTTCAAACCATATTTTTCATGAATAATAATTCTTGGTAATTTATTCATGATAATGATAATAATATTTATTCATGATAATGATGATAATTCATGATAATGATAATTATAATAAAATCAATTGAAATAAATTATGCCCTCTCTTAGGGCTTTCTTTTAGTACATAATCCATAATTGCAAATAAAATAAAGGGCTGCGTATTTGTGTGTTAAAGGACCTGAAGCTTTTATATTTGTGGGACTCTTTTTAATAAATAAACTCATCTATTAAAAGTTAGGTAAAATGATGAATACATACTTAGAAGATAAAACAAAGCACAAATGTTTCAAGGTTAACAAATAACACAGCACCCAGAAAAACAAAGAAGCCAATGTTTAGGGTAACTGCCTGTCCATACCAGTAATCCTTTCTTTCTAGACAAGATTCATTAGTTTCAAACTCTAATCACAAAATATACTGTCATAACAGTAATCAGGATATCGACACAAATGATACTATTACATGAGTATAATGCATGTGTGACTCTGACAATCACCTTGCAAAAATGATGCCTCATCTTTTCTCCTCAGCATCCTTTTCTCTGTTGTGGACAGTTTCAGGGATTTCCTAAAACATTCCCATGCTTTCTCTCTTATTTGATTTCACACATCTCTGTGGGTGCCAAAGGATCTTTCAAAAATGAAAATAAAATCATGTAACCTGCCCATGTAAACATGATTATCTTCACTCAGCACTTAGAATCAAAATTCTTTTTCTATAGTTTACAAGGTTTTATATGACTTGACCCCTATTTATTCTCACAGCGGCCTCTTTAGCTACTCTTCTCTTTGTTCAATACACTCTTGTCTCACGTCATTTTCAATTCTTATTATTTTAGAGACTCTCACCATGTGGATTCCAAGGTTTTCAGAGGTTCTTTCTCCAGCTTTTCATATAGCAGTTTTTAAATATGTCATCTTTTACTGTGTTATCTTTTCAAAGATGATTTCTATGACCGTCCCATATAAGTAATTCTATTTAAATAATTTCCATGACCATCCCATATAAGCTCTTTCCAAAGCATCATTTTACTCTCCATGATAATATTATTCTTTATTGTCTCATACAACTTAATAATTGTGGTATAACTAATTAATTTGATATTAACTGTTTTGTGTCTATAATGTTTTCTCCAATTTTAAGCAAATCAACAAGTCGTTTGTAATCCTTTGCCCAACTCAGATGTGTTTCATCTTATGAATAATGTGAGGTATATGAAGAAGAAAACACAAAGATCCTGACAGAAAATGAGACCCTAGGTTTTGTTCTCTGGAAATCTAAGTTCCTTAGGAATTATACAAATGGTAGGTGGGGAGAACTGAATGCCTGTGAGGAGAAAGAAGTTGAAATAAGAAAAGGAGTGTTAATTTAGTTCAGGTCTAGGGGAGAGTGGTATTCCAAAGTTAGTTGTTCTATATCCCATTACCTTTCAGAAACCTGGAGAGGTGGTTTTAATGCCAGGTGGATTTTATTTCATTGTTTGGTTTAAAATCTCCTAGAAGATATAACTGAGTTTTAAATTACACATTTGCAACGTCATATCATAGCATCAAGGTACTGCTGAGGATGGATAAGAAGCACATCAAAGGTGGCCATGATGGGATAAAGATATGGGGTAACTGGCATGCCTTTTCATCCCACAGTTGACTCATACTGTTTTGATGACCCAGAGAAAGGAGAATGGCACAAATAATGCAGTGGATTCAATTTCCTGCCTGCATTATAAGATGGGACCTCAAAGTCAGATTTAATATGATTTTAAGAAAATAAAGAAATGTGACTTTTTGTTCTCCTGTCCAAATTTTTGTGCAGGATTCACATGAATACAAAAGCATTTCTTCTTCTAATGGTTGTTTACCTCTCCCTTTATGAGTTAACTTCCATATCGTTAAGACTTCTATCTGCTTAAATCAATATTACATACCCCAAAAGAAATAGACCTACCTGGTACAAAGTAGGGGCACAATATGTATATTTGTTAATCATTTAATAAAATATGATTTATAGGAAAGGAGAAGCTCAGTGAAATACAATAATAGCCAAAATTAAAGAATTGTTTAATGCCTGAGTGTTCAATGCCTGAGTCTGTATTTACTTATAAATCCTGAGCTCTTAGCCACTGTCTGAAATTTCCTTTGTGTAAAGAGGAAAGCAACTGAAAACTGTTAGCACTGGTATTTACAGCATTTACAAAACAATGCACACATGTGAACATATAGAAAATGGTAGTCAATAGTAGTTAAAATAAAGTAGTAGGGAACAAACCTCAACTGCTATAAAGCAGCATAATAATGGTTGATAGTCCCACCTGGCAACAAGAAGATTACAAGGATTTTTCAAATTATGAATATACAGCACATGAGAATAGAAAACACAGTCAATTGTCTTAGAACCAGAAACTTTATGTAGTTTCTTGAAGCAGGAGCCAGCCTCCACATCACTGGCCTATGACAAAAAGGTAGGAGAGCCGTTTGAAGTGATAAATGTGAGAAGGCAGAAGCAGAGCTTTCTTTCAGATCTTAACAGGTGTAACCAAAAATTCTGAGCTAAACTCAGTAAGAAGTGGTTTTAAATGTCTCCCACAGTGAGTTCAAACTTCTGCAGTTAGTGGATAATTGGTGACAGATGTTGTAGAAGTAAAAGAAGAATCAACAATCTTCGAGCCTCCTATGGACCCACAGCCCCATTTTAACCTCACGTAATTATCTGCAAGTGTCCCTATTAAGAGGAATTACCATTCCAGTTAAATGGGAGACCATGTCATCAGATTTAATTTAGTTCCTTGGAAATGGTGCCAATTAAGTACATATCCTGTTGAAAAGCACATTCCAGTTAACACAGGGTATTGTATTTAGGGGAAAATTTAAAAGTAGAAAAAAGTAATCAAAGTTTTAGCCATTTGTGGTAATACAAACTAAAAGGAAAATTCATTCTGTGAAATAAGTTTGTATTAGTTGTTTACATAAAAGACCTAAAGAAACACAGTTGTTTTCAGTTAATTTTTCTATTCATGTTAGATGTGTAAAGCATAGCACATAAGTAATGACCTTAAATACTAAATAATTTAGTGTAACAGTCTGGCAGCCAACATAAGAAAAACACAATATATCATATATTGTCTTTCCATTGTATTATTTCCTTCACACACACACACATACACACTCACACTCACATTTATATGCTAACATAGATTATAAATTGTCTGGAATAGTGAAGTCCTGTTTATAGTCTCACTCATTTCTCAGAATCAAAGCTGCTACTTTTATTATTCATATGCCATATATTTCAAAAATATTTTACCAGTTTAAGTAAACAAGAAAAAAAATCGTAAAGTACTTCTGCAATCTAGAAATTTCATTTAGGAAATTTAAATATCCCTATAATCCAAGTGCAACATTTCCATTCTTATTTAAAAACAGAAGTATTTACTCAACTCTACTAAAAGAAAACATCCATTATTTAATAAGGGTTAAATATTATTGCATTAGTGAATTATTTAATTCTTTAGCAAATTACTGAAAGTCAAGTTTTAAAACAACACGTAACCTCAGATTGTGGTTTTCTTAATTACCAGGCTATCAGCTCATCAGTTAGCAAGTCTGATCAGATCAATCTCTTTTCTGATCTTTTCTTTAACATTGAGAAACTTTAAGGTTTTTGCGTTTTTGTCTTTTCTTTCTGCTTTTTTCCTGATGTCATTATAGTATTATATCTAATAGTACAGGTTGTAATTCACTTGGACTTAGCTATGCTGGTTATAGGCAAGATACTCAATCCCTGTAATATTAGTTTTTTTTTTTAACCTATGAATAGATAATGTTGGTACAAATTTTGATAAGACAAATTTATAGGGTTTCTAACACAGTGGCACAAAATAAACATTTAGTTTTTAAATAACCTTTACTTTACTAATAGAGTTGTGAATATGATTATATTTCACAATATTTCAATAATATTCTAGCAGAGGAATTTGAACATCTTTAATCAAAAGACCATAAATTTAGTGACCTAAAATCAATGAGCTTATAATTCAGAAACACTCTCAAAAAGCCATTTGAATTAGTATAATAGATTATGACTTTTGAGTCTTTATCTATAAAATAGAACAATACAACCTACATTGTATGGAAATTCTATTAATTAAATAAAATACAAAAATTAAGTATTACTTAATCTGACATATAGTATGTTCACAATAAATGGTGAAAATATACTAGAATTCAATTTAAAGAACATTTCATTTGGTGGTACTTAAGATTTTTATTGTCCAAATAAATAATTGAAGAGAAATGGCTCAGAACTTTCTAATACTAAATAAAATATTAGGAAGTAACAAACTTTCTAGGAATATCAAAAAGAGTAACTCAATATTCTTCTATACCGAGGCAAACAATAGTAAACTGATGAAAGCCAAAGACAGTGAGAAAAACCTTATATAAACTACCTTCAAATAAAATGTTTTGCCATCATATAAGCAATATGTACACTTACAGATGACTTCTCAAAAGAGACAATTGGAACAAGAAAATGAGAGAACAATATCTACAAAATTTTGAAAGAAAATGATTAATCTTGTAGAATTCTTTATTCAAAAAATGTATCCTTTGGAAAAGAAGATGATAAAGGGCATTTTAGGCAAACTAGAGAACTGATTACAAGCTGACTTGCAATAAAAGGAATACTAAATTATTTTCATTAGGGTCTAAGAAAATTACACCATAAGTATGGTTAGAGTTGTAAAATTTTTTATGAACAATAAAAAGTAAATCTAAATTAAAAATGAATAAAAAGTGGTAATACCTTATGTGTATGTAGAAATTTAAATATGATAGATGGATATCAACAGCATATTAAAAACAAGGTATAAACTACTAAACTGTGGTAGGTTATATAAATATTTGCAATTATTCACACTTGCTTGTAGAGGGGATTTTTAATTCTGTCTGTTGACATCTGACTGGTGGTGCCTTTTCTTGAGAAAGAAACCTGCTTCCAATGACATACAGAGTCAAGGGTTTATTTTAGAGAGTGAAATGTACATGAAAGTGGCATATTCCCTTTCAGCAAGTTTTAAAAACCATTACAGGGCTTCATCAACATTTTATTTTCTGTGCTAGGAAAACTTCATGAACCAGATAGGGGTTGTTCTTTTAACTTAGAACTAAGAATGAAAAACTGGTGGAGCAGAGCTCTCTTGATCTCAAATGATGTGTTACGTAAGCAAGAAATAACAGGTTGTAGTGAAACAGGATGAGGACAAAATAAATTATAAAATGGTATCAATCAAAAAGCAAGCTAGAAAATAGTGAAAATAATTAGGAAAATGGCAGATTTAAGCCAAATGTATCAGTAATTACATTACATGAAAATAACATAAAAGTCCAATGGAAGATAAAGATTATAAAATAGGATTATTCTTCTCTAAAATGTGGTGCTTAAGATGAAAGTACAAAAAATATTTGTGCATAATCCAAGGAAAGCTTTTGGAACTATGTTGATAGACTTTTGGGTATTTAAAAAAAAGAGGGGAATATATGGACAGATGGAAGGATCAAAAGACAGAGAGACATATAGATAAAAGTAGTCAATTTATAACACTTTCAATTCACCAGTAAAAAAAAAAAATTGTAAATTTCAGGCATCTAATTATTTGGCTTAAAATATAAAGCAAAATTAGACAAATATATGGAGATAAAATAATCCATAATCATAGTAGACACATTTTTAAAAATTCCTTAGTAATTTATTTAATTTGAAGATACAGAATGTTATTTATTGTGTCTTTACTCCAAAACAATTTCAAACTTACAGAAAAGTTGCAAGAAAAGCATAAGTAACTTATGTTTATCCTTCATCTAGAATCTGTAATTGTCAGTACATTTGATTTATCATTCTATTTATATACATATTCTTTTTTTCTGATATATTTAAGGGAGGAAAAGAAAAAAGTCTGCTCCAATATCTAATCAGGGTTATGTGTTGTAATTAGTTACCCAAAACATATTTTTAAGAATAAAAAATTATTGGCAGTGAGGATTGGGTGTGGCTTATTTCAATTCAATTTTAAATAATTTGGTTTTATAAGATGAAGGAATTCAAAGGCAGTTTGATGAATAAATTAATTCAAATATTGGACTTCCTTTTCATGATTTTTAAATGCGTACTTACATATAATTAATTCATTTGTATCTATGAAATCACAATATTGTAAATATATTATTAAATTTTCCATTTACTGTACAACTAAGTGATTTTGAGTAGTAAGCAAAAGAGTGTCGTGTACAACTGCTATAGTAGTCTCTATTTTGTAGCAATGAGGTTGGATCAGAAGATAATAAAATAGAAACAGGTGCGCTTACTAGAAAGCAGCATGACACCGTGGGAAGTGTGGCTTGTTGGCAAAGAAAAAGAAGAATGTGACTTGTTGCAACAGAAAGCTCTAGAGGTAAAACTAGACAGTTCTTTTTATTTAATCCATGAGCTCATAAAATAGAGCTGTTGTAAATTAAATGTTAATGTTCTTATCCCAAAACAAAGATTTTGCATTTGTTTGTGTTTACTATATCAGGTAACTATAACTCATCATAGAACAATATAAGTTCACTATGAGAGCATTTGGAAAATATAACTAAGCAAAGTTAAGAAAAGTAAAATCTACTCTACTCTCACCCCCTGAAGATAACCATCATGACTATTATGCCATATAGCCTTCTAGATCTTCTTCTATATAAACTATTTTAAAATAAATACATGTACACACATATATACATATTATATACAGACAGACATATACAATGAAGCTCTACTTTATGTACATTTATTTATTTATTATTATTATTATTACTTTTTTTTAGATGGAGTCCCTCTCTGTCACCCAGGCTGGAGTGCAGTGGTATAATCTCGGCTCACTGTAACCTCCACCTCCCAGATTCAGGCCATTCTCCTGCCTCAGCCTCCTGAGCAAACGGGACTACAGGCATGTGCCCCATAACCGGCAAATTTTTGTATTTTTAGTAAAGACGGGATTTCACCATCTTGGCCAGACTGGTCTCAAACTCCTGACTTTTGGTAATCCGCCTGCCTCGGCCTCTCAAATTGCTGGGATTATAGGCGTGAGCCACTGCACCCGGCCTTTATGTACATTTAAATAAGGTAAAGTCAACTGCACATACCCAGTGAAAATTTTAAATGTACCGAAACAAAAATTAAAATAGAGACAGGAATCTATCCCCGCTTATCACTCAAAGAGCATAGGCTTCAGATTTGAGTATCTGCTTGGTGATGAGAATCTACTAGTCTTTAAGGTTCACTTTCTCTGTGTCCCCATACTTTGCTTATAAAAATGTGTGTGTATTTTCTTTTTGAACTCCCACTATCCAAACTTAAAAAAAATTAGATGTGTTTCATATGAATCCTTCAATCTTTAAACTCTTACTGTTTGATATTCAAAACGCAGCAACCAAATAGATTTGGATAATTTGGCATCCCTCAAACTCAATATTCAGACTCACTCTCTGAATTCTTCTTATCCAAAAGCAGAAACCAAATAGATGTGAATGTACAGGGATACTTCTTATTTTTAATAAATAGGATAAAATTATTTTATAGCTTGCTTTTTTCTGCATGTCACACTATTAATTCATTTCTGTTGTTAAATAATTTTATAACATCATTTAAAAATAGCTGCCTAATATAATTGTATTTAAAATATATTAAAATAGGTTCACTATTGTTGGATGCTTCTGTTCTTATCTATTCATAACTGTCTTGTTATAAAATTCCTGCATAATCTTCCATGGAATAAACTTTCCATATCAGTTTTGAAACTAGTTATTCCTGCGATGGGTTTCCAACCAGGTAGGTAATTATATGTCAGGAGGCTCGGCATGATTCAAATAACTGTGAAAACCAGTACATTCTGCTGTTTCCCTATTGCATCCTTGTATATATTGACACAAATGTATTCCTGGAAAAGTGCACTGTGAGAGTAGTACTTATTACCTCTTAGCAGGGCACAAGGCTTCAAGAAAGACCTTAGGTTTTGGCATCCAGCAGGTGTAAGAAGCCCTTGTTGTAGCCTTATTATTTGCTAAATAATCTTAGGCAAGTTATTTAAACATTTATCCTTCAATTTCATCATCTATGCAAAAGGGATTAAATAAGACCTGTGTCACAGAATTTTTGAGAGGACTAAATGAAACAAATTATAAAGATACCTGATTTGTTTTTACTGGTACTGTTATTGATGTCATAGCTATTAAGAGCCTTCTTAAACTTTGTTTTTATTTATTTCCACAATTACTACATATTTTTGAGACACCAGACTCCTCTTACTTCTCTTACCTTAACATAAACTTTAATATTGCTAATGTCATTATTTAATGCACTGGCTTTTAAAAATATTTGTTCATAGTGACAAATCTGTTTTTCACTTTTTTCTTTTGCTTTTCTTTTTTATTTTTTTTAAGACAGTGTCTCTGTTGCCTAGGCCTTCTGCAGTGGTGCAATCACGGATCACTGCAGCTTCAATCTCCCAGGCTCAAGTGATTCTCCCGCAACACACCTAATTTCATTTTTTGTAGAAGATGGGGTGTTGCTACATTGCCCAGGCTGGTCTCAAACTCCTGGCCTCAAGTGATCCTCCCACCTCGGTCTCACAAAGTGCTAAGATTACAGGCGTGATCACCACACCTAGCCCTGTTTTCCTTCATGTTACCCATAAGCATACCGAAATATATATGTATACATACATATCTGAAATAATATGTTAATTTTATACCTGCTGTCATATTCTATCTTTTCTTTATTTTTAAAGACAAGTCATAACTCATTAAACTAATTTTAAACTCACAATTTGAAAAACACTGATCTAGTGAACAGAGGTAGAGCTAGGTACAACAGAGTTCAATTTACGGAATTTGGCTGTATCTCTAGCCTCACTAGAAGTCACTTGTTAAGAAAAGGAGGATAATTTCAAGTCATTTTTAGTCAGTATACAAATAAAAGTCACTTAAATTACAGAAAGTTAGTAAGAGTTCCTGGGCTATGGAGTCACAAAAAACAAGGCTGAAATTTTAACTTAGCCATTCTAACTCCATAAACTTGAAAACAATTCATTAACTTTTCAAGCCTCAGTTTCTTCATCTATAAACCATATGTTAGAGGCAATAATGGAGTTGCTAAAAGTGTAAATCCTTTTTGGGCAATTCTGATATGTTATCTGTATTTTTAAAATTGTATTTTTTAAAAATTTCTAGTTGACACATAGTTGTACATATTTATTGTATATAGAGTGATTTTTCAATGCATGTATATGAAATGTGTAATGATCAATTCAGGATAATCAGCATATCCATCACTTCAAAAATTTATTATTTTTGTGTTGGGAATATTCAAAATCCTCTCTTCTAGCTATTTGAAAACATACAATAAATTATTGTTAACTATAATCACCCTACTATGATGTAGAACACTAGCACTTATTCCTCCTCAGTGTAATTTATTTCCTTTAGCCAGCCTCTGTCTGTTTCCCTGCCACATCCCCTGTTCAGCCTCTAGTAACCACTATCCTACTCTCTACTTCTAAGCGATTAATTTTTTGAAATTCCACGTACGAGTGAATACATGTAGCATTTATCTTCTTGTGCCTGGTTTATTTTGCTTAGCATAATGTCCACCAAGCTCATTCATGTTGCCACAAATTACAAGACATCTTTCTTTTTATGACTGGGTATTATTCCATTGTGTATGTATACCACATTTTAAAAATCGTTTCATCTGTTGATGGACACTTAAGTTGATTGAATGTCTTGGCTGTTGTGAATAGTGCTGCAATACTCATGGGGGTGCAGATATCTCTTTAATATACTGATTTCCCTTCATTTGTATATATACCCAGTAGTCAGATTAGTAAATCATATGTTAATACTATGTTTAGTTTTTTAAGAAACCTCCATACTGTTTTCCATACGGTTGTGCAAATTTACATTCCCCCCAATAGTATATAAGAGTTCCCTTTTCTCTGCATTATCTGCAGCATTTTTGGGGGGACGGGGGGTCAGTCTTTTAGATAATAGCTATTCTAATGGGGGAGACATGACATCTCACTGTTGTTATGATTTGATTTGCATTTCTCTGATGATTGGTGATATTTATAACGTTTTCTTATACTTGTTGGCCATTTATACGATTTCATTGAGAAATACCTATTTAGATTATTTGCCTATTTTCTAATTGCATTATTTGTAGGTTTTTTTTTCCTGTTGAGATATTTAAGTTCCTTGTATATTCTGGATATTAATCCCTTGTCAAATGAATAGTTTGCAAATATTTTCCCTCATTTTGCATATTGTCTCTGATGATTGTTTCCTTTGCTACACAGAGACTTTTTAGTTTGATATAATCACATTTTCATACTTTGATTTTTGTTGCCTATGCATTTGAGGTCTTATCCATGAAATCATTTGAGGTCTCATCCATGAAATCTTTTCCCACACCAATATCCTGAGGCATTTCTCCCATATTTTCTTCTAGAAGTTCTATAGTTTTAGGTCTTAACATTTAAGTCTTTAATTCATTTTTATTTGATATAAATTTTCCCTCTTTACTTGAGAGAAGAGGTCTAGTTTTATTCTGCTACCTATGGATATCCAGTCTTCCCAACATCATTTTTTGAAAAGATTGTCCTTTCTTCACTGTGTGTTCTTGGTGCCTTTGCCAAAAATCAGTTAGCTGTAAATACGTGAATTTACTTCTGGGTTCTCTATTCTGTTCCTTTGCTCTGTATGTTTTTGTTTATGCCAGTATCATGCATGCTGTTTTATTTACTATATAGCTTTATAGTATATTTGAAAGTCAGTTATTGTGATCACCAGATGTGTTCTTTTTGCTTAGAATTGTTTTGACTATTTGAAGTGTTGTGTGGTTCCATACGAATTTCATGACTTTTTTTCTTACTTCTGTGAAAAATGTCATTGGTATTTTCAAAGGGATTGCCTTCAATCTATAGACCAGTTGGGTAATATGGTCATTTTAACAATATTAATTTTTCCAAACCATGAACAAGAGATCACTCTCCATTTTGTGTGTATTCTTTTCAATTTTCTGCATGAATGTTTTGTAATGTTTATTGTAGAGATCTTTAACTTCCTAGGTTAAATTGATTTCTGAGTATTTTTTGCAGCTATTGTAAATTGGATTGCTTTCTTGATTTTTTCCTGATATTTTGTTATTGTTGTACAGAAATTCTCCTGATTTTGTATGTTGATTTTGTGCCCTCAACTTTACTGAACTCATTTATCTGTTCTAGGAATTTTTTGGAAGAATTTTTAGGTTTTTCTGTACAAAAGAACATGTCCGCTGGAAACAGGGACAATTTGACTACCTCCTTTTTAATTTAAACACTATTTATTTCTCTTCCCTAATTACTCTGGCTAAGACTTCGAGTACTATGTTGACTAAGAGTGGTGAAAATAAGAATTCTTTTGTTTTTCCAGTTCTTAGAGGAAAAGCTTTCAACTTTTCCCCATTAAGGATGATAGCTGTGGGTTTGCCATGTATTGTTGCAATATTCATGAGATTCATTCCTTCTATGCCTAATTTGAAGGATGCTGAATTTCATCAAATGCTTTTTCCATGTCTATTGAGATAATCATATGGTTTTTCTTCTTTATTCTTTTGATGTTATGTTTTATGTTTATTGATTTGCATATGTTAAACCATTCTTGCATCCCTGGGATAAATCAAACTTGATTATAACATATAATCCTTTTGATGTGGTGTTGGATTTAGTTTTCTAGTACTTTGTTAAGGATTTTTGCATCACGTTTACTGGGGATGTTAGCCTGTAGCTTCCTTTTTTTTGTTCTTATTTGGTTTTGTTTTCAGGGTTATAATAGCCTCCCAGAATAAGTTTGGAAGCATTTCCTCCCCTTCACGTTTTAGAATAGTTTGAGAATAGTTTCTAATTATTATTTAAAAGTTTTGTAGAGAAATGCAAATCAAAACCACAGTGAGATACCGTCTCATGCCAGTCAGAATGGCTAATATTAAAAAGTCAAAAAATAACAGATACTGGCTGTTGCAGAGAAAAGGAAATACTTATACACTGCTGGTGGGAATGTAAACCAGTTCAGCCACTGTGAAATCAATTTAATTTCTCAAAGAACGTAAAACAGAACTACCATTCAACCCAGCAATATCATTGCTGGGTATACACCCAAAGGAATATAAATAATTCTACCACAAAAACACATGTACTCATACATTCATCACAGTACTATTCACAATAGAAAAGACATGAAATCAACCTAGATGCCCATCAACAGTGGACTGGATAAATAAAATGTGATACATATACACCATGGAATAGTATGCAGCTATACAAAACAGTTAAATCTTGTTCTTTGCAGCAACATAGATGAAGCTTGAGGTCATTATCTTAAGTGAATTAATGCAAGAACAGAAAACCAAATACCCTATGTTCTCTCTTATAAGTGGGAGATAAACATTGAGTACACATGGACACAAAGTAAGTAGCAACAGACACGGGGCCCTACTTGAGTGTGGAGGGTGGGAGGAGGGTGAAGATAAAAAAACTGCATATTGAGTACTTGTGAAAAATATAATCTGTACACTAAACACCTACAACACACAATTTACCTATGTAAGAAACCTACACATGTACCCTCTGAACCTAAAAGTTGAAAAAAGGTATATTTGTAGATAAATATAGAGATGTTTGTAGACATACACATATACATGGATTTGTAAGTATATGTAGACTGCTAGCTCTTTCTACTGAGACAGACTAAAAGTAGGGACATACCAGGAACAATGAGCATATTTTGCACCTACATCTTAGTTTTTGAAGAAAAGAATCAAAGGCTCTTTTTATTGACGTTTGATTCTAAGGCTGAGGAAGGAACATACATTATGACCCATAAAACAAGAAAGGTTAAAAAACACAGACAAGACGCAACTGGAAAGAGATTCTTATCCAAGGCTAAATAATTTGATCAACAAATTAAATGGCTAGAGTATTGGGTTATAACAAAAGTAACAAACATCTGTAATTTCTCCCCTTGTAAACAAATAATGGATTAAATTAGTGTGAGTAAAAGGAAAGACTTCTTTTCAGAAGATTTCCAAATAATAAATTTATAAACAATTAGAGAAAGAGAAACACCATCAGAACACCACAGTAACAACTGTTGTAGCCAATTCCAGTGATTTCGTGGAATGGTGAGTAAAATTTTAAGACACAAAATACGTGCATAGCCTCAAAACATCTCTCCAAAAATAATTCTAATTAGTGTAGTGGTTTTAGCATCTGCCTCCAAATTATTTGATAATTCTCCCTTCAGGAGGTGGAGATTAATTTATTTCCCTTAAGTGTGATCTGAATTTATTAACTTGCTTCCAGAATGTAAGTATGGGAATGAAAAGTAGTAACTATGTTATGGCACACGTCACCTTAACTAGTAGATCAAGATTAATGTCACCAAGTTTAAGTCATGTTGACAGCATGTTGACGTTACATATGATGTGATGAAGTCACCTATGGTACTCTTCCTCAAATCTGTAACCTTAATATACATTAAATAAACACAATTCAATGGGCAATCTACAAAATACCTGGGCAGAAATCTTCAAACGATTCAAGGTCATAAAAACAATAAAAGGGTATGAAAAACTGTTACAGGTTGGAGGTGACTGAGATGGCATGTCAGTAAAATGCAAAGTAGTGTCCTAGATTTGATCCTGAAATTGAATAAACACCAGTAAAAAGTGTGGGGATATCCAAATGCTGCCTGTACTTTGCTGTTCTTTGATTATACAAGGTGTTAACATCAAGGGAAGCTGGGTAAAGTGTACAGAAAATTCTGTATTATATTTTTACATCTTCTATAGATCAAAAATTATTTCAAAGTAAGTAATTTTGAAACAGCATGTATACACGTACTTTTTTGAGCTAAATTACACTTAATTTACACTTTTCCATACTTAAATTCATAATTAAAGAGTCAGCACTTATTGAAACTTACAAAAATGTCTTTTCATTAGATTTTAAATATGCTTTGATTTTCCTTATTTAAATAAAAATTTTCTGTAATGCAAAAAGATATTTCCTTTAATAGTGCTATTTTAATTTTTAGACTAAGGTGCATCCAGCAGAAAATCTTTATTACATAAAATTATGGGATGATTCCTAATACTACCTGGAGTAATCAGACTTTGCACCAATGTTTTATATTTACACAATAATACAAATTACTGTAGAGGGCAGACATTTTTTTTTTTAAAGAGCAGAACCTTCGCTTTTGAAGAAATGCAGAAAGAGGTAACAATGAAAGGTGGTTTCTGAAATCCCTTCTATCAAGATATTGTATAATACACCTTCTAAAATGAAACATTTCTGGGAGTAAAAGGGAAAACTGACACAGGAGTCTTTCAGTGCCGCTTCACCAGCCAGAAATCTCTGCAGCCAGTGGCACCCCTGCTTGGGCTTTGCTCGGTTATGGGCTCGCCACTGGGCTCACTCCACCCACTTGGCCTGGTGGACTGCACTCAGCTTGCTCCCGGCCCTGATCCTGTACTCAGATGTAGCCCACGGCTGAACCTGGCGTGCTGCGACCTGCTTCCACCTTGGGCGCTGGAGGCTGGTTAAGAGGAATGTGGTGACACCCAAAAACTTGGAGATGTCAGCAACCGTGGAACCCCAAGAGGTGTTATGGCTCTCACTTGAGGAGTCCTAAGGTCTGAGCCCCCAAGGACTGTTGCAGCTCTCTCTCCTTCCTGCCACCTGCAGTGTGGCGAATGGTGGGGGGTATGTTACAGCTCATTTGTGTGACAGCTCATGTTTGTTCCCACTGCCTGCAGCACAGTGAATAGGGGCATGCTGTAGCTCTGACTCGGAGAGTCTCCAGGTCTGGGCCCACAAAAGGGTCACAGCTTTTCACTCCCACAGTTCAGTGAATGGGAGCATGTGGTACCCAGAGGCTTTTTCTCCCCCATTGTTCAGTGAGTGGGAGGGAGGGTTACGATGTTAACAGCTTTTGCACCTGCCATTCAGCAGGTTTCGGGCTCTTGTCTTGTGTCCAGGAGGAATGAGGTATGCGGACACCAGAGAGTGAGCAAGGAGATGAAGAATTGTATTAAGTGACAGAAAAGGTCTCCACAATGAGAGGAGACCCTAACTGGGTAGCCCTCTCTGTGAGAGGGGCTTGAAAGCAGGAAGCTCAACGTGTGGCTGAGTCTGGGGATTTTTATGTGCTCAGAATGGGGGCGAGGCTGCTGATTGGTCCATGGGTGGGCCTAGATAAAGCACCATTTGAATGGCTAAAAAGCATCAAGGAAGTTTTCCCTCTGGGCGTGGACTCTACCTGGAACTGGTAGCTCAGTTTTCAGGCTTTAAATTGTCTTTGGTTTGAAGGTCTGGTTTCACGGGGACCCACCCCTATCAGCCTAGAAATTTCTCTCCTGTCATTATCAAAACTATCAATTATCTTAACATCAGGCATAAAGCTAGACTATCTCAGGCAGACTAAATAATATATCTCACAATTTTCATAACAAAACATAATTTTTAATTGCTTGCTTTCTTTAACCTGATCTAGAAGATAATGTAACCCCAAGTAAACTTTTGAATTATTAGGTATATATATTCCATTTTATATAAGTCTATTTCACAGAACATTAGGCTCAACACATATAACATTTTATACATATTAATATAATATGTATACATATATTTCTATATACATTATATATGTAGATATATATTTCTGTATACATTATGTAGAGTGAGAAAGAGAAAGAGAATAACCAGGGTATTCAAAGTTAACTTGCCTCTTTTTTCATCAGTCTTTAGAATTAAAAAAAAAAACTTGATTTCTGAAATCAACATTTACATACATTATAAAAGTGATTAGAAAAGAAATATTATAAAATAAAAAAGGCAAAATGTTTTGTAGAAACTGAAAATAAAATATTGGACAAAATATTGAATTAGAGATGATATAATGAAGTTGAACTGGAAACAGCAAATTGATGTAAGTGGAAGGGCCTTCAGAAGTAAGCCCGGAGGTCAATATATGCCAACATCATGCTTGTTGACTTTGTTAGAACTGACATTCTCACCAGTTTGATACTTGCGGGTACGTAACAAAGGTGCAGAATACAATAATGTAGGTTTTATTTTAAAAATAAAGAAAATTTGTTGCCCCCTCAACGGCGCGGAGACCAGGGGCGACACGCGGCCCAGGGCTGGCAAGTTCAGGGCGGGCGGCTGGGGACTGACGCGTGGCGGTGGGATGTGAGGTGGGGGCGGGACCTGGCCTGGTGCCTGGAGGGGAGGAGTCCAGGCGGCGCCTCGGACTTTTGCTCCCACAAGCCCTGCCTCGAAGGCGGGGAAGCTGGGCCAGGAGCAGCCCAGAGCGTCTGAGTTGCCGCCCAGCCAGGGCTCCTGCGCTCCCCAGAACGGTGGGACGCGGGGGTCGGCAGCCTCCAGCTGAACATGGCGCCCTGGACGCTGTCTCGCTGCTGCCACTGCGTCATGGGCTGGGTGCCGGTGCTCCTCATCACCTTCGTGGTCATCTGGTCCTACTACGCGTACGTGGTGGAGCTGTGCGTGTTTACTATTTTTGGAAATGAAGAAAATGGAAAGACCGTGTTTTACCTTGTGGCTTTCCCTCTGTTTTTTTTATGTTTGTATGGTCCTATTGGATGACAATTTTCACATCTCCTGCTTCCCCCTCCAAAGAATTCTACTTGTCCAATTCTGAAAAGGAACGTTATGGAAAAGAATTCAGCCAAGAAAGACAACAAGAAATTTTGAGAAGAGCAGCAAGAGCTTTACCTATCTGTACCACGCCAGTTTCAAAAACTATCAGATATTGTGAAAAATGTCAGCTGATTAAACCTGATCGGGCGCATCACTGCTCAACATGTGACTCATGTATTCTTAAGATGGATCATCACTGTCCTTGGGTGAATAACTGTGTGGGATTTTCTAATTACAAATTCTTCCTGCTGTTTTTATTGTATTCCCTATTATATTGCCTTTTCGTGGCTGCCTACAGTTTTAGAGTACTTTATAAAATTTTGGACGAATGAACTGACAGATACGCGTGCAAAATTCCACGTACTTTTTCTTTTCTTTGTGTCTGCAATGTTCTTCATCAGCGTCCTCTCACTTTTCAGCTACCACTGCTGGCTAGTTGGAAAAAATAGGACAACAATAGAATCATTCTCTGCACCCACATTTTCATGTGGACCTGATGGAAATGGTTTCTCTCTTAGATACAATAAAAATTGGAGACAAGTCTTTGGTGATGAAAAGAAATATTGGCTACTTTCAATATTTTCAAGCTTGGGTGATGGTTGCAGTTTCCAACTCGCCTTGTAGGGATGGGTCCAGAACAAGCTTCTGTTACAAACCAGAATGAGTATGCCAGAAGTGGCTCAAATCAGCCTTTTCCTTTCAAACCACTTAGTGAATCCAAAAAACTCTTGTTGGACAGTGAATTTTCACTCAGTGGCTAGAGAATAGAGCTGAAGAAGGCATCGTCATACCAGGTGTATGAAAACATTATAGACTGATGTTTTCAATTTCATTTGCAAGAAAATGATCAATGGAATGAAATAATTGAAGTATAACAGAAGACATTTTTTTAAAAAAGAAAGCCTTTGTACAGTTCCTGGGATCCACAGAAGCACTACTCCAGAGCAGGACGATGCCTTAATCTTAAGTGTCCATTTGTGCAGCATTGACTTAGAGCTACAAAAGTGACTTAATGTTATTCTGGAAATAACTCTTACCTGTTATGAGATGCTATAATGAGCTATCATCACATTTTAACATGTAAATGTATTTTTCAATACCTGAATTACATTATTAGCATTGTGAGTATCCATGTAAATTTTCACTCCAAAAACACAAGCTTAAAAACTTGTCTTAAGTACATCTAGGGCAAATGATGACTGAAAGTGAATAATATCCAAATTACCATTGCTTGTACTGTATAAGGAAAACTGCTTTTTTAAATTGGGCATTTGCTAATTTATAATTACTATTTTGTACTTTTCAACATTTTAAATCACATTTTTATTGTTGGCTGTAACAGAAGGATTCAGATATCTAAACATCATTTAGAACATAGAACACTTTGGTCTAATGCATTGAAAGCTTAGTTATAAGCAGTAATACAACCATGTAGCGGAGCATGTACTCAAGGCTTAAAGGGAACTCGGCAGTGTAAGAAATATTTTGGGTTCTCTCTGCTTTTTTATGACTTTTTTGGTTGAAATTTCAGGGGTATGTCCATGGGCAGAGAAACACAGAGGTACATGTGCTGGAGAAATACTGGACACAGTAGGAAGAGGTGTAAGTGTTCAGAAGAAAAGCTAAGAGGAATGTTGTCATCTGTTAAAATAATAGTTTGAGTTTTAATGGTAGTTAGAATAAAGAATGCTGTTGACGTGACTTTCAAATTTCAGTGTAGGTAATGACCAAAAATTACTTTGAAACTTTTAGAGTAATTCTGTAACAGCTTAAACGTGACTTAAAATGCAATTCAAACTAGGCAAAAAAAAAAAAAAGAAAAAAAAAAACTTTAGGATAAGTTTTCCTCCTGGCTGTCAGTTAGTTATTCTAACCCGAGTGGTCATTTAACATCCCGTCTCTGAGAAGTGGATTCTATCCACTCTTAGATGCACAATCTTAAATCTGACTTCCTAAAAGCAACCCCTTTAGGACTCCTTTTTCCTTGTAAAATCTAATCTAAGTGACAGGAGTTGTCGCATCAACTCCAAAGAAAAGTACAGAATAAGCAATGTAGAAATGTTACTCCTCATTTATACTTTTTAGTCAGACACATACGTACTCCAAAATAATTGATTGCTTTCAGTTAGTGGGTGGAGATGAATCTCAGTAGCATCTGTGAGTACTCCAGGTTGGAGTTTCTTGTCTGTAAAATGGGACTGCAGGGGAAGGGTGTGTTATGAATGAGTTGGACTGGATGACTTCTAACATTCTGTGATGCCTAATTTTGCAGAATCACTTTTCATTCACCCAATAATTTTTTTTTTTTTTTTTTTTTTTTTGACAGAGTCTTGCTCTGTCTCCCGGCCTGGAGTGCAGTGGCTGGGTCTTGGGTCGCTGTGGTCTCCGCCTCCTGGGTTTGAGAGATTCTCCTGCCTCGGCTTCCCGAGTTGCTGGGATTGCCCGCTCATGCCACCACGCCCAACTAATTTTTATATTTTTGGTAGAGACAAGATTTTGCCGTGTTGGCCGGGCTGGTCTGGAACTCTTGGCATCGGGTGGTCCACTCGCCTCGGCCTCCCATGGTGCTGGGATTGCAGGTGTGAGCCACCACGCCCAGCCCCAATACATTTTTTTGGAGTACCTTCTATATGCTAAACAATACAGAGGGATAGCTCTATTATTTCCTAGTACAGCAAAAATTTTATGGTTGCTACTTTAGGTTTATAATTTGTAAGATTGGTCTAATTTCCATCAGCCATACTAATGTTAGATTTTAAAAGGAGGTAATTTTTTTTCTCTTTGAACCAAAGGAATGAATTAACTTTGAAAACATAGTTTGGAATACTATAGAATGGATTCTTCTACCTTTGTTTCAACTCCTTAGTCTTAATCTCGAGTCTAGCAAACTAGAATGAGAGTTAAGAGATACCAATTATTGCCAGGTGCAGTGGCTCATGCCTATGATCCCAGCACTTTGCGGGGCCGAGGCTGGTGGATCCCCTGGGGTCAGGGGTTGGAGACTAGCCTGGCCGGGATGGCGGGACCCCATCTCTACTAAAAAATACAAAAAAAGAAAAACTGTCCAGGCATGGTGGCACATGCCTGTGGTCCCAGCTGCTCGGGAGGCAGAAGTAGGAGAGTCGCTTGAACCCAGGAGGCGGAGGTTGCGGTGAACCAAGATCGTGCCACTGCACTTCAATCCGGGCACCAAAAGTGAAACTCCAGCTAAAATAAATAAATAAAAATAAATCAGTTACCAACTAAACACATAACTTCAGTTTGGCGGTTTGCATATTATAAGGAGATAAATATTTAAACATACTTGACTACTTTCAGAAATGTTCTTCTGTACTTTTTGTGAGTATTTCTACGATCAGATCAAAAGAGCTGCATGCACCTGGCTAACAGCCAAGGAAGCTTCATTTTTTTTTCTTCACTATTATGCACTTTTGTGGTATTGTAGTCTTTCTCAATTCTTTTTGTTATTTAACAGCATCTTTAATAGCACAGCCAATATCTTTTAGGAAATTTTCAGTTAGAGCCTTTGAATTATTTATTTTTTATTTAATTTACAGCCAGCATTTTGTCACATTCTAAATAATATTTAGCTGAACTTATTCATACGTATTAATGACCATTCTATCAAGGGTCTATAAGTGGTGTGGGAAACAGGTAAAGGTTGCCTCTTTGTTATCTCAATTGGTATTGATTATTGCTATCAACTATTTGGGGAGAAAAATAAAAATGAAGCCCTGTAAAATTTTATAAGTACTATCTTTGGTCCCTCAAACATTGGAACATTTGTGATGACACTTAAGAAAAATAAAGTTGAAGTTCAGGTCTTGCCATTGCCATTAAAAACAAATTAGAGGGGAGACTTGGTTTACCTGGGAACAAATTTACTGAAATATTTAGTACCTGAAACTATGCCAAACCAAAGAGCAGCTGCAGAACATTAGTTATTTTAAGTGAACAAGTTTACAAAGTTTATTTTCATCTTTACATACGAATGATTTTTTAAAAACTATTTTTACCTATTAGTGGTTATGAGTCAATGTGTCATGAGTGAATTTAACTGTAAGGTGGTTTAAATCAATATGCAATGTTTCCTTGAATTGTATTTCTATTGGAAAGCAGATTTTGACTATGTTTGCAGAACTGTTTAAATTAAGGATTACCAGGCATGTGAGATCTCTTTCAGTTATCTTTAAAGCAGATGTAGATTAAGGGCTTAGATTTAGGATCTACATATTCTGGGCATTGAATAGCAGTAACTTACAAATAAGTTTTGTTTACCTCTTGTTCTAGGGACTAGCACTGCTATCAGTGGAAAGTATTTTTAATTAATCTGTTACTAAGAAAGTCATATTTTTGCATTTCAGCCAAAATAAAGACTGTATCTAATAGTCTGTTAGAAACAGATAATATATGTCTGAAATCCATATGTTTCATATGATCTAAACTGTATTTTCTGATTTAAATTAAAAATATAGATTCAGAAAGGTTCACTATTTTCTAATGACTTCATTCTATATTTTTTTGGGTTGCATAAAGAAGTAAGGAATTGTACTTTTTGTATTAAAAGATAAAGAAAGCTATTAGGTATATTTGTACATGAGTGCAAATGAGTCTATGCCTGTTTAAAAGAAAAGATGGACATTATTTTAACGTGAGCTTTAATACACTGATATAAACAAACTTGAAGTACAGTTTAGTTTGGTTGTGTTTACCTAACAAGTACCATAAGCCTTGTATTTGTTCTCATTTGTATAATCCTAGCCCATGACTTAATGTTGATGCTTTGCTTTGTCTTTTGGATGGCCTAACCTACATTAACATGTACGCAGAACATTTTGGATTTTTTTTTTCAAAAATAATAATGAATTACTTTATCAATAAACAAATAAATATTTTTAAAAAAGAAAATTTGTTGACAAAACTGGCTTACTGATTTTCTGTGAAACCAAAATCTTTGGACCGCTACATCTTGCTCTGACTAAGAGTGACAAGATTAAAAAAAAAAAAAAAGAATATTTGTTGACAAAACTGACTTACTGATTTTCTGTGAAACCAAAATGTTCGGACGGCTACAGCTTGCTCTGACTGAGAGTGACACTAATCACCTTGGGTTTTGTAAAAGAGCAAGTTGAAATCAAAACACTGAGTGTCTGAATTTGTCCTACACAGATTTATGGATTGTTTTTTATTTTTAAGACTAAATATTATATATTGTTGATTTTACTTAAGAAAAAAGTCACTTTATGATTTAATCCCACAAATAAATGCATATCTGTTACTGAAGGCAAAAGCTAAAGTATCATTAGTTATTCTCAAAATTAAAAATAAATTGTCAATTTCTAAATAATGACAGTAGTCCATATAATGTTTCCTTTCTATTTTTCACTTCATCCTCTGACAATGAATGAAAAAGAAGACAGCTTTAGAAATATAGGACAAGGATTTTCTGTTGACGAAACAGGAAAGTTCTACAAAGGGACTGTCATTTGTGGCTCTAGGGCAGAAAATATGTAACAAAGAACACAACCTAATATATAAACATATGAAGTTTAACCCTAAGGCAGCTGTTTGTCCCATCCTTATTTAAGTTCATTCATTGACATATCTTAGCAAACCTATTTCAAAAGCACCTGATATTTACTCACATACTGTGTGAGATTTCTTCTGGCATCTCTGTATCACAGAAATTTCTTACTATTTTGGACCTTCTTTTTAAGCTAGTGATTCTAATTAGAAGAATGTGAGCATGCACATGTAACGGAGAATGAGGCTAGTAGCAGAGCAGAATAAGCCTACATGTTGTTATAGCTATTGTGGCAAGAGCAAAAGAGAACAACAAAAAAATGCCACATTTCTTTGAATAAATGCTTTGACTTAACAATAATGTATGCATACCTTCATAAACTTACATATATTTATTAGCTAGCTGAAAACTTGGCCAAGTCTCTGAGAAGAATTTGATGAAGATAATGGATTTGTTTTTAAAGACAATTTACTTTGAAGTTTTGAATTTATAGAAAAATTGGGAAGGTAGTGCAAAACATTCCTATATGCCTTGAACCTAATTTTCCCTGTTATCAACAACTTATATTAGAATGATTAATTTATTTGTTACAAATAATAGACTGATACTGATACATTCTTATTAACTAAAGTCCATAGGTTACTCTGATTTCCTCAATTTATAAATAATATTCTTTGCCTTTTACGGTATCACATTTAGGTTAACAATTCCACTTAGTTGTCATGTTTCTTTCAGTTTCTCTTGGCTGTGACAGTTTTTTAGACTGTCTTTGTTTTTGATGATCTTGAGTGTTGTGAGAAGTGATATTTTGAGGAGTAGTAAGATATTTTGTCGGATACCTCTCTATATAATCTATTGCTTTTCTCAGGGTTTGACTAGAGTTACAGGTTTTGGAGAGGAAGACAAGATGTAAAGATGTTTTCATCACTTCATATTAAGGGTACCTATTATCAGTAGGTTTTTCATCATTGATGTTAACCTCGATGGCATGTTTAAGCTAGTGTTTGTTGGGTTTTTCCACTATAAAGTTACATTTTTTAGCCCTTTTTATACTGTACTCTTTGAAACCACTATGCATAGCCTACACTTACAAACTATGGATTTGTCCTCCCTTTCATTGGAGGAAGTGTCTACGTTATTTAGAATTCTGCTACACAGGAGATGTGTATCTTCTCCAATTATTCATTTCATTTGATCTCTTATTATAACAACATGAACTCATGGTTATTTATTTTGTATAACTGACATTTTTAGAGTTTTTTTTCTTTTTACCCTTTTCAGAATGTCACATAATTGGAATCACAGGACATATAGTCTTTTTTTTTTACATTGACTTGATTCACTTGACAGTATTCATTTTAGGTTCACGCAGGTCTTTTTATGGCTTGATAACTCACTTCCCTTCATTGCTGAATAACACTCTTGTATATGAACACACAATTTGCGTATTCATTCATACTCCTGTATATGAACAATAAAATTTGTATATTCATTCACTTATTAAAACATTTTGGATTCTCATTTGCAGTGATTGTGAATAAAATTCTTATAAATATCAGGTTTTGTATAGATGTACATTTTCAAATCAGTTAATATCTAGGAACATGACTGTCAGATCTTCTCTTCAGCTATGTTTAGCTTCACAAGAAATCTTCAAAATGTTTTCCAAAGGGGCTGTGCCATCTGACAGTCCTACCTGTAGTGAAAGAGAGTCGCTGTTGTTCCGCATCATCACCAACATGTAGTGTTGTTAGTCTTTGGATTTTGATGTTTTAAATCAGTGTATAGTACTAGCTTATTGTTGCTTTCATTTGCAACAATATAATTTTATCTAATGACAAATGGTATTGAGCATCTTTTCACGATTATTTTCTTTGATAAAGTATGTTTATAGCTTTTACCTATTTTTAAATTTGGACTTTTTTCCTCATTGTTGCATTTTAGCATTCTTTGTATAATTTAAATGCAATTATTTTATCATATATAGGTTTTTCATATATTTTCTCAAGTGAGTGGCTTGTCTTCAAATTCTCTTAATAGTATCTTTCACAGAGCAGAAGTTTTTAATTTTAAAATGTCCAACTTATTTTTCTGTAATTACTTTGTTTTGCTATTATATCTAAAACTTGTCACCAAATCTATGGTCAACTTGGCTTTCTCCTATGTTTTCTTTTGGAAGTTTTATATTTTGTCATTTTACATTTTGATCTATGATCCAAACTTTGTTCAGTTTTACAAAAGGTTTAAGGACAATGTTGAGATTCATAGCTTTGCATATAAAAAAGTTTAAGTTTTTGCATGTGGAAAAATTTACGATTTTATAGCACCATTGCTAAAACTTCTATCTTTTCTCATTGAATTGCCTTGATCTTTTCTGAAAGATCAGTTCACCTTATTTATGTGAGCCATGTACTCTGTTCCATTGATCCATATGTCTATGCTTTCCCCAATACCATATTATCTAGATTATGGTAGCTTTATCAGAAATGGTTTCCACATGTCACGTGATCTCAGCTGTGATTATTTGTTGTAACATATCGCTCCAGTTTTGGAGATTAAGGGGATTCTGTGTGACCTCAATCAACTGATGTGTCCAAGAAAATTCATTGATTTTTCAATTTGTTTGTCTTCTTTTGTTTTTTTTGTCAAGAACATGGGAGTGGTTACTGTTAGGTTTTTTACATAACAAAGCTTAAACTGAAAGTGTTACAGCTTTTAGCTATGTTACACACATATAATTTGTATATTACATATTAATAAAAATTTGATAACAATTGTCTACCAAGTCCTCATTGAAAAAGGAAAGAAAGCTTAAGGGAACAAAATTTTTTTTCCCACGAAAAGAAATTCTAAATTAATTAGGATAAAGAAATAGTATGCTCATTTATAATTTAATATATGCTAAATTTTCTATAGGTACAAAAATTACCAATTTTCAAATTCATCTTGATATTTTCAGGTATTTACTATGTTGATTATTGTACTAAAAAAAGAGTGATTATTGTACTTGAAAAAAAACAGAATGCTACTTAATTTTAAAGATATAAAAAAGGATAGCTTAGGTAAAAATGTAGTTCCCATTTTTATTCAACAATTGGTGAAATAAGACCACCTTTTCCTTGTGCCTGCTTCAGTACACTTGTAAAATACGGAAGTGATATTTTTTCCATTGTAGGACTAATTTCAAGGGAGTCAACGAAGTAAGCTGGTCTTAAATTATGTTTCCCATAGAAAACATATTTTCAAAGTTGTTAATATATTAGATATTGGTTTTGATTGATTTGTTATAGAAAACAACAATTTCTATGTCATTACAGAGATATGCAGACTAGTAAATAATTCAATCATTCATTTAATATATTTGCCAAAAAGGTTTATATAAACCTTTTTGCCAAAAGGTTTGTATAAATTGATTATGATCTTAGGAAATTCATGAATTTTTTCTGTGTATTAGTGATCTATAGATTTTAGTAGAAACGTAACATAAGCAAAGGAGTTTCTTCTTGACATTTTTTATACTGCAAAATATTTACTTCTATTTTGAGAGGTCATTTATATTTCTGAACTTGATTGTGCATGCTAATTATTTAATTACAATTTATTTTAACTGAACATTTACCAAATGCATATAATTATGTGCAAATTTAGGACTACCTAAATACAGGTACCTAAAGTACATACCTAAAATATATACCTAGAGTACATATGAGGTTTTAAATTTTGAACTAAGCTATTTAAAAGTAACATTAAATATATATCATAGAAAAATAACAAAAAGAAAATTAAGTTTTTAAATAATGAGATATTTTTAAAAACAATTATACTCATAATGTAAAATTTACTTTAATTCACCTTTCTTGTCTCTGTGCACATTAAAGAAATAATACATATCTTTTGATCTTAGGAAAATTCCACTTAGTGACTAGATAGGCTAGCTGGCCTTTCTGAATCTTGATTATTTCATCTGTGGAAGCAAGGAAGATATACTTTATCTACCAAAATTATGAAGGATTGTCTAGATGAAAACTTGATATCTATTCTATCTCTAAGAAAATAACTTATCTGTTCTATTATATTATCTTTTGAGAGGACACTAAAATTACCATAGATGGAAAAAATATATATTTTTCTGTTTGGGTTCTAGAAAGGTGTTTTTTTTTTTTTCCTAGCAGCTGCGGAAGTAGCAAAATATTTGCTTTCTATTTGTCTCCAAAATTTTTGGCTTCTAGGATTTTAATTTAGATTGACCACTTGTCATTTTCATATCAAATTTCTTTTGGTGTTTGAAGTAAATATTGCAGAACACTTTTTACCCTCTGTATTGAATTTATTGTCTCTATTGATTCTGCCTGCTTTAGTTGTTTATTTAGGAGATATTTTAAAAATTAACTTTCCTTTTTCCTTCCATCTTAAGAATTTGAAGTCTTATTGGTTCACTTATGCAACTAAAATGCAGTTTTAGTGTTAATAATTCAGGCCATAAGTAAATTGAATACATAACTTTTCTCTTGAATAGATAATTGATATCAATGTTTTCAAAAAATATATCAGTAATGAAAGATAAACTTATAAAATATTTAACCAATTATTCCCTTAACATCACATTTTGTTGAAGTAACTACACCTTGATATGTTTATGCATTTTTAAACTACTAAAATTTAATTTCATACATTTAGTGGAAACTTTTGGTTAATATTAACATCTAAGTAAAGCCAGACACAGAAAGGCAAACCACATGGTCTCACTTATTTCTGGGAGCTAAAAATTAAGCCAATTGAACTCATGGAGATAGAGAGTCAAACAATGGTTACCAGAGGATGGGAAAGGTAGTGTGGGGGAACAGGAAATGCAGATGGTTATTGGGTACATACATATAGTAAGAATGAAAAAGATCTAGTATTTGATAGCACAATAGCATGCCTACAGTCAGCAATAATTGACCGTACATTTTAAAATAACTCAGAGTAGAATGAGAATGTTTGTAACACAAATGATAAATGCTTGAGATGATGAATATCCAATTTACCCTGATGTAATTATTACATATTGTATGCTTTTATCAAAATATCTCATGTACTCCATTAACGTATACACCTACTATGTAATCCCCAAAATTAAAAATTATAATAAATACATAAATAAAAATAGATAAATACAACCCTAAGAACATTTTTTTACAATGGAATTCTGAAAGCTTACAGTTGATTCTCCAACTTGTACTTTCAGGTAATAATTTTCAGTAGTGCCTTACTCAGGCCAACTGGAAGCCTTTTTCAAATCACAGGAGCTCTCACTGTTTCAGGAGTCACTCTCTGTGAGTTCACCTTGCCTTTGGATCGCTGTGGGGGAGAGAGGTCTTAAAACAGAATGAATGAATAAGCAATCATATTCTAAGGAATGTAGATGTTTGTGTCTTGGCATGACAAAAACAATGTTCTTTTATATTTGTCTCTCTACATGAATACTCTGATTAGTTTTGCATGTGCACATTTGCAGTTTTCTTTTGCAGCCACCCAAGGACTTAAACACTTTGAGGCTGTATGCTGATAAATTACAGCATGCCTTTCTTATAACAAAGCATGTCTGTCTTTAGAACTTCACAAGAGCTTCTGATATATGTAGTGAATTAACATTCTTATTTTATAGAGTCAAAAAGAAAGCGATTGTTATCAATAGCTATTTTCCTGTTCTAATATTTCTTTGTTATTATAATAGTACAGCCTGCATTGACACTTGAACCAAGAAGTCTGTAACTGGCCGGTGGATGTGCCATTTATTTTTGTTCCAAATTCAATGACAATGAAGTGCCCAATATGCATGAAACTACAACTCTCATAAAATGACTTGAAAATAGATGGCTGAAAAATTTGTAGCTCTCTTATGACTCTTGTTTGAGAACCTATTCTAATAACCACTTATATGTAATCAGATGGACTTCATGCAACCTCATCCTGTAAATGGACCATGTGAATGTTTTCCTATTATTGCTGCCATAGCTCACAGACTATATAAGAATTGCTAGTCATTCTGCCCTGAAACAAATTACTATTCTAACAATAGAAATCTCAATGACCTTCACATAAGTCATGGCTTTATAATGTAGATACTGATATAAAAACTGCCTAGGGGGCATGGAATTCACCCATTCAACTGTCTTTGCTAAATTTGCCTCTGAGCTGTTTTCTGTAGATAAAGAAATAGGGAAAATTGCTGCAAAAAAAGTAATTTGGGGTCCACTGTATCAGTCTTAGAGCGGGTTATGCTAACATACTTTTTAAAGTGTTTATGAAATATGAATATTATATATACATAGATGTATGTATCTGTATAAAATATATACATAGGTATGTTAAATATGCATATATGCATATACATAAATGAATAAACATATGTGCATATACACATATACATATGTATATATGTACATATATGTGTATATATAAATAAATGCCTCCAAAAAGTCACCATTCTGGTTAGTCAGTTCTAGATAAGATTCATTACGTTTATGCTCTGATTAATGATACTGAAAGTACTTCATTTACATTTTGACCATTTTAAAGTAAGACAAATCTCAAAATCTAAGAGTTAAAACACATCTGGAAATTGGCAGATGCTTTTCTTCACTGGCACATGAATCTGTTTAAAATCATGAGATAATAATTGTTGAATGAGATCTGTATATAAGTATTGCATTAAGTTTGAGAGGAAAGAAGCACCTCATTAGTATTACGTATAAGATGGATAGCAAAATCTAAAGCAATAAAATAAACACAGAGATACACACACAAACACACACACACAAAATATATTTTGAAAAAGACATGGTAAATATCTTGCAATGTAATTGAGGTTTTTGCCATTGAAAGTAATGGCCAAAATGCAATTACTTTTGCACCAACCTAATAATTATTTTGACCTGCTGATATTATGAATTAGATAATCTAAATAATAACTTGTAAGACAATTATGGAATAAAGATTTCAGCAAAACAGGCATAAAGAAAGTAAACCATAAAACACCTCTCAACGTTACTCAAATTTTTAAATTTTTCCCAAAATTTTATTTGCGTATGTGTGATCTATGGAAAATGTACCCATATTTAATCAGCATCATGAAAAGTTAATTTATTCCATGGCTTTTAAATATGTTTTAATTAAATGGCTTCCCTTGAGTAGGATAACACTACTTATCTAGTTGTCTATTTCAGCATTGTAACTTCAACACCAAGGAGCAGATCAATGTTTGTTTTTATTTTTTATTATTTTTCCACAATAACATTGAACATTTTATGTTTTTTTAAAGTATTTATCTTCCAATACAGGGTATGCCTTCTCACTTGAAAATAATCCGTGGTAATAAATATGGCTGCACTCATTATTTGCAGTATGCCATCTGGAATTTGGCAAAATTCCCATGATTCCTTGGCATCTCATGAATGAGAGATACAATTCAGTGCTTTAACTTTTCTTTTAGCCTAAGTGTTCAAGTTTATGAGCAGAGAAGAGTTTATGTTTAGCAGCATTGATAAATTAGGGTCATAAAGTTTTAATATCCTTAAAGATACATTTTGTCCTTTTCAGGCAAAAGAGATTTTTGACTTTTCTAATTCTTTCTCAGGTTAACAGAGGAAAAAAATAGCGTTAAAAGTGGAAGATCAATGTCCAGTAGAAAACAATAACATTAATTATAACAACAATAATACTATAATTAAGTACTGATGTGCTAAAAGTTCTGCTTAAATTTGTTACACATTATGCCTCAGATTCACTTGAATAGTCCTACTCTAAAATTGCTATTCAACAGAGTTAGAATTAAATGTGCTTGTTGTCAACCAATATGCCATGTTTTATTTTGACATCCCAACATGAGATCACAATTTACATGGCAATAACTATTTGTAAACAAAATCATTATTATTTAATTTTCTCATTCCTATTTGAAGTATGTATGTGTGCATGTGTAGGCACATATAAAGACATATCCAGAGTATTATTAAACCAGTATAATCCTGTTTCAAATAAAAAGATGTAATAGTACGTTTTTACTTTAGGCAGTGACAGTTTTACACACACATACACACACACACACACCTTCTTAGAAAATATATTAAATTATTTTCAAGGAAGAGTTTTAAAACACGAAGCCTTTAAAATATTTGGAAATCAATATAAAACAATTTCGAATTAATAAAAATATTAGAGAAATACAATATTTTTTAGGAAGCAACATTTTGCTTATAAACAAAAAGTTTTTGCTAACATAACTAGTAAGAGTTTCAAATGTTTATCAGTCTTAGATAATTTTGCTTCAAAAACACCTTAGTAATTAATTTTAAACAAAAACAATAACAAGAAATTTATCGTATATATGTAAAAATATCTCTAAGAATTTTATAGAAAAAGTATATCTATAAGATAGTATAAATAGAGATGTAAACAAATACAGACATATAATTTTCAAGAACAAGCATTATAAAATATGCATTTTGTTAAAGTAGTTTATATATTCAATATCTTTTAATTGCGGGCATTTACATTCAAGGTTAGTGTTGATACATGTGGATTTGATCCTAATTAGTGTTGAAGTTACAATGCTGAAATAGACAACTAGATAAGTAGTGTTATCCTACTCAAGGGAAGCCATTTAATTAAAACATATTTAAAAGCGATGGAATAAATTAGCTTTTCATGATGCTGATTAAATATGGGTATTTTTAAAAATATATATTAAAAAAAGAAATTATTGTAGTGTGTTTTTCAGCTCTGTCAGGTCGATTATGTACTTTTCTATACCGGCTATTTTGTCTGTCAGCTCTTGCATTGTTTTATCATGATTTTTAGCTTCCTTGGATTGAATTTCAATGTACTCTGATAGCTTAGTAATCTTTGTCCCTATCCATATTCTGAATTCTATTTCTGTTATTTCCACCATATCCTTGCTGGAGAGGTGATGTGATGAATTCTCCAATTAAAAAAAGACACAGAGTGGTAAACTGGATAAAGAACCAAGATCCATTGGTAGGATAAAGAACAAAGATCTATTGGTTTCTTCCAGAAACCCATTTCACATGCAGTGAAACACATAGCCTCAAAATAAAGGGATGGAGAAATATCTACCAAGTAAATGGAAATCAGAAAAGAAGCAAAGGTGGCAATCCTAGTTTCAGAAAAAACAGACTTTAAACCAACAAAGATATATAAAAAAAAAAAAGACCAAGCGGGGCATTACATAATGGTAAAGGGTTCAATTCAACAAGAAGACCTAACTATTTTAAAAATATATTCCCCCAACACAGGAGCACCCAGATTCATAGAGCCAGTTTTTGGAGACCTTCAAAGAGACTTAAATTCCCACACAACAATAGTGGGATACTTTAACAACCCATTTAAAATATTAGACAGATCATTGAGACAGAAAATTAACAAAGATTTTCAGGACCAAAAATCAGCACTGGAACAAATGAACCTGATATATATCTATCTCTCCACCCCCAAACAACATAATATACATTCTCCTCATTGCCATATGGTACATACTCTAAAACTGATCACATAATCTGAAGGAAAACACTCCTCAGCAAATGCAAGAAATACTAAATTCATAACAAACAATCTCTTGGACTACAGTGCAATTAACTTAAAAATCAAGACTAAGAAATTCACTCCAAACAATAAAATTACATGGAAATTGAATAACCTGCTTCTGAAGGACGTTTGGGTAAATAATGAAGTTAAGGCAGAAATCAAGAAGTTCTTTGAGAATAATGACAACAAAGATACAACATACCATACTTAGTTGTGTCTGGGACACAACTAAGGCAGTAATAAGAGAGAAATTTACAGCACTAAATGCCCACATTAAAGAGTTATAAAGATCTCAATTTAACCACCTAATATCACAACTAAATGAACTAGAGAACAAAGAGCAAATGAATCCCAAAGCTAACAAAAGACAAGAGATAACCAAAATCAGAGTTGAACTGAGATTGGAATACATAAAAGCATTCAAAAGATCAATAAATACAGAAACTGTTTTATTGAAAAAAATAATGGAACAGATAGACTGCTAGCTAGACTGATAGAAAAAGAAAAGAGAGAAGATTCAAGTAAATACAATCAGAAACAACAAAGGGGATATTACCACTGACCCCACAGAAATACAAACAACAATCAGAAAATATTATGAACACCTCTATGCGCATAAACTAGAAAATCTAGAAGAAATGGATATATTCCTGGACACATACACCCTCCCAATACTGAAACAGAAAGAAATTGAATCCCTGAGCATATCAATAGCAAGCTTTGAAATTGAGTCAGTAATAAATAGCCTGCCATGCAAAAAAAAAAAAAAGAAAGATTAGAAACAGATTCACAGTTAAATTCTACCAGATGTACAAACAAGAGGTAGTACGATTCCTCCTGAAATTATTCCAAGAAATTGAAGATGAGGGACTTCTCCCTAACTCATTCTATGAGGTCAGCATCATACTGATACCAAAACTGGGCAGATATAACAGAAAAAGAAAGCTTTGAGCCAATATCTTTGATGAACATCAATGCAAAAATCCTTGACAACATATAGACAAACCAAGTCCAGCAGCACATCAAAAAGCCTATCCACTAGGATGAAGTAGGCTTCACCCCTGGAATGCAAGGTTGGTTCAACACATGCAAATCAATAAATTTGATTCATCACATAAACAGAACTAAAGCAAAAATAGCATCAATATCTCTATAGATGCAGAATAACATTTAGATAACATTCAATGTGACTTTATGTTAGAAATTATCAATAAACTGGGTATTGAAGAAAGTACCTCAAAATAATAAGAGCCAACTATGACAAACCCACAGAAAACATTATACTGAATGGACAAAAACTGGAAGCACTCCCCTTGAAACCCAGCCCAACACAAGGATGCCCTGTCTCATTACTCCTATTAAGCATAGTATTGGAAGTCCTGGCCAGGGCAATCAGGTAAGAGAAACAAATGAAGGGCATCAAAATAGGAAGAGCGGAAGTCAAACTATCCCTGTTTGCAGAAGGCATAATCCTATATCCAGAAAACCCCACACTCTCAGCCCAAAAGCTCCTTAAACTGATAACTTTGGCAAAGTCTCAGTATACCAAATCAGTGTGCAAAAATCACTAGCATTACTAAACACCAACAACAGTCAAGCTGCAAGCCAAATCAGAAATGCTGTCCCATTCACCATTGCCAAAAAAAGAATAAAATACCTAGGAAAAGAACTAAAGACAAAGGTGAAAGATGTCTAAAAGGAGAACTAAAAATTGCTGCTCAAAGGAATCAGAGATGACACAAAAGATGGAAAAACATTCCATGTTCATGGATAGGGTGAATCAATATGGTGAAAATAGTCATACTGCCCAAAGGAGTTTATAGATTCAATGTTATTTATATTAAACTACCATTGAGATTCCGCACAGAACTACAAAATAAAACTATCTTAAAATTCATATGGACCCAAAAAGACATCCAAATAGCCAAGGTAATTTTAAGTAAAAAGAACAAAGCTGGAGGCATCACATTACTCTGGATCAAACTGTACTACAGGGCTACATTAACCAAAGCAGCATGACACTGGTACAAAAACAGACACATAGACAAATGGAACAGAATAGAGAGCCCAGAAATAAGTCTGCATACCCACAACTATCAGATCTACAATCCTGACAAGTAGAAGCATTGGGAAAAGGATTCTCTGTACAATAAGTCATGCTGGGACAACTGGCTAGCCGTAAGCAGAAGACTGAAACTGGACCCCTTCTTCGCACCATATACAAAAATTATCTCAAGATGGAATAAAGACTTAAATTTAAAATACAAAACGATAAATCCATGGAAGACAATGAAGGCAATACCATTTTGGACACAGGAATGGGCAAAGATTTCATGACAAAAATGCCAAAAGCAATTGCAACAAAAGCAAAAATTGACAAATAATATCTAATTAAACTGAAGTCCTTCTGCAAAGCAAGGAAAACTGTCAAAAGAGTGAACAGGCAACCTACAGAATGGGAGAAAATTTTTACAAACTATGCAACCAACAAACGTCTAACATCCAGCATCTATAAGGAACTTAAACAAATTTACAGGAAGAAAACAAACAACCTCATTAAGAAGTGGGCAAAGGACATTTTCAAAAGAAGATATACATGTGGCTAACAAGCATATGAAAAATGCTCAGCATCACTGATCATTAGAGAAATGCAAATCTAAGCCACAATGAGATATCATCTCACACTAGTCAGACTGGCTATTAATAGAAAGTAAAAAAATAAAACAGATGCTGGTGAGATTTCAGACAAAAAGGAGATTATACACTGTTGGTGAGAGTGTAAATTAATTCAACCATTGTAAAATACAATCTGGTGATTCCTCAAAGACCTAAACACAGGAATACCATTCGACCCAGCATACGTATGTTCATTGTAACATTCTTTACAATCGCAAAGACATGGGATCAAGCTAAATGCCCATCAATATTGGCCAGATAAAGAAAATGTGGTACATAATACACCATGGAATACTATATAGCCACAAACAAAAAATGAGATCATGTGATTTACAGGAACATAAATGGAACTAGGGCCCAGTATCTTTAGCAGCCTAGCGCAGGAACAGAAAACTGAATACTGCATGTTCTCACTTATAAGTGGGATCTAAATGCTGAGAACACATGGACACACAGAAGGGAACAACAGACACTGGGGACTCCTTTATGGTAGAGGGTGGGAGAAGGGAGATGATCAAGAAAAATAATTAATGGGTACTAGGCTTAATACCTGGGTGATGAAGTAATTTATACAACAAACCCACATGACACAAGTTTACCTATTTAATAAACCTGCACACAAACCTCTGAACTTAAGATAAAAGAACAGTAATTTATATATTCTAAATAATTGTAATTTAATTCAATATACCTTTTTAAGGTAGCATGAAAAATTAAAGGTGAAAGAATATTTTGTTTTATGATGAAGATTATGAAGAAGGGCAGAAATGTAACTTTTACTGATCTCAAAGTTTGGCATACAGTCATTGTGATCAATATAATGTGTCATTGGTTCAGGTGAGTAACAATGGATAGAAAATAGAACACAAAATCTCACCAATAGGGCCATAACATTCCCTTCATCTTGACTAAAATTTAGAAAGATTTCACCCTATTGGCTTGTCTCTTTTGTCTCTCTTTTCTTGTAATATCTACTTTAGAACATTTCCATTGTGTATTCCTTCTTTGCCCATTTGATATGTACATTATCTTCTTCCAGCTTCTTGTCAGTTTTATAACTCATGAATATGTAGAGAAAAAGATAGCGTACTTATCTCCCAGTCTCTATGGCAGAGGAGGAGCCTAACTTCTACAAGCACCAGTTAGAAAACACAGATGGCCCAATTACCTTCAACAACCTCCCCTCTAGCATCCTCTATTATTTATCACTAATTCATCCCAGGGCATAAAAACTCTCCTGCCTTTCGATTCAGCAGAGTTCAGTTTAATCTCTCTCACCTATTGCAATAGTCTTGAATACTGTTTTCCTTGCCTTTGGAACTTGACCAGTGCAATTTTTTTTTTTTGACAAAACATACACATGTACACATGGCACCTTGTTATACAACACAGGGAGCATACTTGAAGAAAATAATGCCATGAACGGCTTTGGAGTAATTAGCTATGCATAAGAAATTATATTGAATAAAACTTGTAATGCTGATTATTTTATTACCATTATGTTAATTGTTATATTTCTATTTATTTTACAAATAACTTTAATAAAATTTGCTCAAAGTAAGTATATATTATTTTTCAAGAAAAATGTCTCCTGCCTTATTCCCTACATTTAAGAGTTTTTAATTGATAAAATTATTTTTAACACTTCCCCTTCTGAATATTTGAAGATTCTTTCCTTTAACCAATAGTTTTTAAATTATTAAATAATTGCCTAATATTTAATTACCTATATTTTATGAAGTTCTGATATACTTTGATTTTCAAGTCTTCTAGGACTCAATTTAGTACTATGTAAGACTGTGTGTGTATCTACTAATGTAAAATAATTTTATAGTTTTCTATTTCCATTTATTTTATTTTCTTTTATAGTGACTCATGTACTTGTGATGTGTTTGGAGGAGGACAGCTGACTCTTATAATAGTCTCGGTCATTCCATCGACAATGACCTAAGATTTTTTAATCTGAGCTTTTAAAACTGTGTTTTCGTAACTCCTGACTTTTCCTACATTCACTTTAACAGATTGCAATTTTACATAACAAACTTTTGTCTCTATCTTTACTGTAACAGAAATGTCACTTGCAAAATGCTTAAGTTTAACAGATAGATAGATAGATAGATAGATAGATGGAATGTTATGGCCATGTTGGTCAGATTCTGTGTTTTATTTTTTATCCATTGACCAACGTTACTCACCTGAACCAATGACACATTATATACATAGGTTCACATAACTGAGAGGTGACAGGTGATATTTGCTGAATGCTAGTTCCACAGGATTAAACTATGTCTTAACTAATTATGTCTTAAGGAGCCAGTTAGACCTCTTCTCTATATTTGATATTGCAGTATGGTTTCCAGAAGGTCTAAGGTTGCATCTTCACATTCAGGAGATGAAAAAGTAACAAGAACTCCACTCTACACAGACTCAAACTCAAACTTTGATGTTGGCTCACATTGGACCTGAAACTTATGGATAAGGATATGTATCCAGTAGGCCAGATCTGGGTCTAATATCTACGTGTCAGCTGATAGTAAAGTTAGCTTCAGTTGAAATACATTGGAATCATGTAATAGGTTACCTGATTCAATTTTATATCATTATTCTCCCTTCTATGGATACCTGTGCCTCACAGAGGAAAAAACATAAACTACATATCCTAGATTTCTCTACCTTTTTAGTCCCAGGTAGATCTGTAAAATGCAAAACAAACAAACAAAGAAACAAACAAACAAACATAATATTTGAAATGAAGAGGAGAAAGAAAAATCCATTATTTTCTGGAGGCAGGTGCAGACATTTACATGAACATATTTGAGAAGCTTCCAGCCTTGTATTGGTCAAGAATATACAGATGAAATAAATGTAACAGCTAAGATAATCAAGAAAAATAAATTTACCTTATGGTAATGATTTATTTATTCATTAAAGAAATATTTCTTAAGCTCCTACCATATGTCAGACAGCAATAGAGGTTTTGAGGTTACAAGTTAGAACAAAAAAAGCAAAAATATCTGCTTTACCATGACTAATCTTAACATTCTAGTGATATGGATTTACTGAAGTATTCCAGGTATTTCCTGAAGCTAGGTTGACTTTTTGATTGTGTTGACCAGTACAATGAAGCAGAAGTAACATTAAACAATTTTTAATTCTGCCCTCAAAATGTTTAAACATTTCTGTTATTGCTCTTGGAATCTGTTGTTCCATATGAACAAGCCTGTGAAAACCTGCTGCAGAATGACATACCATATGGAGGACTCATTTTCCTCAGCAGTTCCAAAAGAAACCATGATAATAGACACATTATTTGGAATAATTGTAATAAATTGCAGGTGAAAATAATACCTTTTTGTTAAAAATGGTATATATTTATATAGTAAGCTTAAGTATTGGATACTAATCAAAGAGAAATATTGGATACTAAAATAGTGGATACTAAAACGAAAGAGAAAAGATTTAACTACTTATTTACTCATTTGCAAATTAGTAAATTAAAGTTAGCTGCCTCATAGGATAAAAGTTTCTGGAACATCGTAACAACTTCATTATAGCCACTACTTTGTTAAAGTAAACAAAAAATTTAAGTATAAGTTAATTATTTTGTAATAAAGGGGTTACCAGTCTATTCAGTTGTATAATTTGTATTTTTCCACATGACTTCATTCAAGAATGTGCTGAAGATCCCTGATAATATTGCTTTTAATCTGTTTAATTTCCATAATACACATAAATAATGCAATCATTTATAGTATATGAAAATAAGAACTTTCAGAAAACTGAGAATTAAATTAACATATATAAACAACAAACATAAGATTTATTCTTTACCTGCAATAAAATTTGCACCATAAAAATATTTCACAAATATTTTATATATTATAATCTTTTAAAAATTATATTTTTGTAGAAAAATACTAATTTTTTCATTAGTACTAAATCTAAATTTTATTTTTCAAGTTTCATAAACATGTTTTCTAATTTGAAAATATTTTGGAAAGGAATGTTTTGCCAAATGATTTTCATCAATTGCAGATATATTATTCTGTTCTCATGCTGCTAATGAAGACATATGTGAAACTTGATAATTTATAAACAAAAGAGGTTTAATTGACTCACAATTCAGCATGACTGGGGAGGCCTCAGGAAACTTACAATCGTGGCAGAATCAAACATGTCTTTCTTCACATGGCAGCCGTAAAGAAAAGTACCCAGCAAAAAGGGAGAAGAGCCCCTTACAAAGCTATCAGATCTCATGAGAACTCACTATCAGGAGAACAGCAGGAGGGTAACTGCCCTCATGATTCAATGACATCCTACCGGGTCCCTCCCATGACACGTAGAGATTATGGAAACTACAATTCAAGATGAGATTTGTGTGGGGTCACAGCCAAACCATAGCAGATTGATTGGCATTTTTTGGGTGAGCAGTATATTCAAAGTGGTCTTACTGTTTTATAGAGCAATGCTATTTCATTCTTGCTAAATTTTACTAATATCATGTAAAGTAATGATGATGGACATTAAAATAAACTAATAATTACAAAAGAGCAATAAATTATAAAAAAGGACATATCATACAAAGAAGAATGCAGGTTCTTATTAAATTGTGCATGGTGGTAAATTAGGCTTCTCAATATTTCTGTGAGCATGTCTTCTTTCATTAGAATCAGTTTTGTTTACGTTACTGGTGAATGCTCTTCTTACAGCCTCTGTCATGTAAGCAGATTGAAAAAATGGGGGTGGAGATTGATAAAACTTAGTTACCATGGTAAATTACAATCTTACCAAACTAAAAGTGAATAAAAAATATACAACTCAATACACTCCATTATTCCTATTCTGTTTGTTTCTTCATCACTATAATGAAATGTTGTGTACTAGAATTTGTTATAAGCAGAAGAAAAAAATTCAATAAACACTCTAAAAAGATAATTAAATTTTTTTAAAGATTAAATTACAGATAATGTTAGGACATTATATGAATAGTAAAAATATAAAATTTCTCTTTAATTTATTATAAGCAATGTATTCTATTTCCTGAGTAAATATGTTTATAAGATCAATAATGTACTGGTACTTCTTTATGAGATTAAAGAAATACTCTGATAAAAATTTTAGTGATGGAAACCTGTAAACAGCAACTGACGTTTGTTTTCTTATTAGTATAATTTAACTTACTAAGAAGAAAAATTAAATTTGTAATAAAATATTGTGATTAAAGAGCTTGACAGAAATAAGAAAATAAAAAATACTTATTTTATAACCTAAAATGAACACTTATTCTTCTAAGTTAATTTAAAATGTATTTTGACTCTGCTATTCTAGACTTAAGTTTATTTTATTATGATAGAACTTGTAATAGCTAAGTAAGTGAAAGTACAATAAATAAATAACTGGGTTTGTTGACCAGCCCTGACTACTATAACTAGCTAAGTGACAATTCCCTAGGCGTCTAACAGAGACTGGGGGCCTATAAGCAATATCTTTTGTAGCATTATCAATCTAAAAATTTTAGTAGCAAAAGCAAATTTAGAGCAGTGGTTTTCAAACCGTAGTGCATAGAACTGTCCATGGTGCAGCAGGGTGTGAGAACAACATTGGAAACGGAAAGCCAAGTAAACAGGACTTCTTGTCCACCCCTTTTTCAACCAGACAAAGATCCACTTCTCTCCTCTTTTATATAACAGTAGTTCTCATCAAACTTTGCTTAAAGTAAAAATACATGTAAATGCGTATGTGTTTGTGTGTGTGTATTGCTTTAAAACGCTTCATACAGGCATGATTGATTCAATTTGTGTTTAGCAAGTTGAATTTTTTTTTTTTTTTTTTTTTTTTTTTTTTGAGACGGAGTCTCACTCTGTCGCCCAGGCTGGAGTGCAGTGGTGCGATCTCAGCTCACTGCAACCTCCGCCTCCCGGGTTGACGCCATTCTCCTGCCTCAGCCTGCCGAGTAGCTGGGACTACAGGCGCCGGCCACAACGCCCGGCTAATTATTTGTATTTTAGTAGAGATGGGGTTTCATCGTGTTAGACAGGATGGTCTCGATCTCCTGACCTCGTGATCCACCCACCTGGGCCTTCCAAAGTGCTGGGATTACAGGCGTGAGCCACCGAGCCTGGCCAGCAAGTTGAATTGTTAAATCAGTAAGTTATAAGAAAAATTTACAGACTTACATATTGTAATTACTTTTTAAAACTATTATGATTACATAAAAATGTATCTCTTATGTAAAAAATTAACATTTTTACCTTCTAGATTTGGTTGTGACATATGTTGAATATTGAACATTTTCGTTTTTTTTCCTTAATTTTTGTCTTCCAACTGTGCCAAGAAAATTTCAAATTTTCTATTTTTCATGAAACCAAGTTAGACATATGGCAGTAGTATTATAGGAAATGAGTGGGTAGCTAGTATTTGTTATTATGTTTATTCTGAAAGGAATTGAATATTCACTTAATTTTGAGTATATATTATTGATGTGCTTATATACTGAGACAATGTAATAGAATAAAAAACAAATTGTTTATTGATAGAAATCATTTGCATTAATACAGATTCTAAATTTCACATTAGTTTTTCAGTCATAGAAATTATATTACCATGTAATTTGACAAAGTTTCTTAACCTTGTCATAAGCTTGTTTCAACTAAAAAACTAAAGAAATGAGGGTTTTAGCTAAGTATACTTAAATAATATGTGGACATTATACCTCCAATATAAAATTATATTTACAAAAATATTTATTATGTTTATTATCAGCTAGTCTTCTGGCACCCTCTAAAAAATTCTAAGTGTAACATAGAATATAAAACTAAAATATACTTCAATAATATTTTAACATTACATACAGTTGTATGATTTGTAAAATCAATTCTTTGTTAGAACATTGACAAATGAAAGGGTATAAAATGAGCACATCACAAAATTAAATAATTTCATTATCAATTAATAAATATCAACATCTGTAATTAATGTTTGAAAATAACATTATAAAATGGAGAGCTGTAGGTAGTTGTCAAAAAATTATCCAAAATTATTTAAAAATTACTCTGCTTCAGATGACTTAGTTATTTGCTGTTTATTATTTGTTATTTGTCATTTGTGATTAAGGAACTTTTATGTAGAGAGAGATTTAAAAGTGTCTTGGTAATAAGAATGCCAAAGAATCAGAAGCCTAAAGTAATAAATTCAGTATTATTTCTCTTCAATAATAGAAGCAAGATAGTATTTAGTCATGGCATGAAACTGAAGACATAGAACGTCACTTATTAAATAGGTCGCTAAAGATGTTATGCTGTGAACAGATGCACATTGCACTCATTTGTTTTGTATAGTATTCTGAATAATAGACTGCTTCATTAAGCAAAACTCTCTGTGAATGTGTGTGTGTTTCTATGTGTGGTTATTAAGATAAATGAAATCATATAAACTTGTTACAGAGCTTAAAAATACTTTGTACATGCAAAAATCTTTTATAATTTTCTTTAAGGAGTAGGAAAGAATAAAAAATGTAAAGAAAAGATACCAAAAAGTCATTAAGAAGCTACCTACCACAGCAGAATATTGTCACAAAAGTAATTACAGCTCTTTGAAAATGCGTATGAAGAGATGGTGGGTGTAGGAGTATGGAGCAGAAAGTGAGTGCTCCAATTTATATCTCTTTCAATACTGTGGTTCAGAGGTGGTTGAATGGTGCTTTGAAGTTTAGCTTCATTCAAACTTATTATTAGTCTCTTAATCTGCAATAAAGTTTAAGGTCCCTTAACCCTTAATTTACAAAGATTAAGGTCTCTTAAACCTTAGTCGCCTAATCTACAATAATCCCCTCCCAAACAAACATACTTTTGTTCTTCCATTCTTTCCTAATTCCTCCCTTCCCTCTGCCTTCTTTCTATCCTTCTGCTGTCTGTCTCTGTCTCTGTCTCTCTCTCATTCTCTCTCTCTCTCTGCACAATATAGTTTGGAATTTAAAAAGCCGTTGTCTTTTACGATATCTTTTATTCTGGAAGAAAAATCTCTCAACTGATTTCAATAAGGGTGATCCAGGAAAGACAAAAACATACATATATTTATTGCACAGGATTGAGGAAGAATTTATCAAACAAAAAGCTCTCCAACTGGTCAGTATCTCACTGAAATAAATAAACCTTTCATTGACAGAGGAGAGCTGTGCTATAAAGGAGAAATACAGAGGCACATCTTTTAAAAATTCACTTATTCATTTAACAGAGGTGACAAAACCCATAGAGAGCTGGAATGGAATTGAGGACAAAATTAGTTTAAAAATGCAAATCTTGTTTTTAGAATAACTTCTTCAGAAATAGAAGAAACACAAAGAAGCAAAATTTCCATACGTGGGTTTCCAGATACTGGCTCACCCATGTATTATCCACAGATTGCTAGGTTTCTCCACCAGAAATGAAAATTTGTTTCAATCCTCTTTTAATATAAAATATGGGAGAAAACTTTTCAGAAAACCAAAATACTTTTTAAGTAATACAAACATCTTTGTTTTTTTTTTTTTTGAGACAGAGTCTCGCTCTGTCATCCAGGCTGAAGTGCAGTGGCGCGAGCTCCGCTCACTGCAAGCTCCGCCTCCCGGGTTCACGCCATTCTCCTGCCTCAGCCTCCTGAGTAGCTGGGACTACAGGCGCCCAACAACATGCCCGGCTAATTTTTTGTATTTTTTTAGTAGAGACGGAGTTTCACCGTGCTAGCCAGGATGGTCTTGATCTCCTGACCTCGTGATCCGCCCGCCTCGGCCTTCCAAAGTGCTGGGATTACAGGCGTGAGCCACCGCGCCCGGCCCGGCCAAACATCTTTTATTTTACCTAGTTTGGGACTTGCTTTCCTTGATTATGCTCAACAAAGGGAAGAATTGTGAAGAAAAATCTAAAACTTGGATCAATGTATTGTCGGGGACACACCCAAGTACCTCCCTTTTGTATAAAGATCAATTAATGTATCACACATTATATATGCATGAATAAATCTGAGAAAAGAAACGTGAAATAATTCCTAAGAAATTAAACGCAAATGTGATCAAATCGATGGCAAATAAGAACAGAGAAAAGAGCAGACAAAAATTTGTAATGGGGAAGTCCTAACAAAGATAAGATCAGTTTTCTCTACCAAAGAATAGGAGGGATACCTTAGTGCAGATAATTAAAATTAATATAAACACAGGGAGAAACAAGACATTTTCACCGTGAAAACTATGCACATTGCGTTGTACATTGCAATTGGTATTTATGTTAACTATGACAGGTATGCTTTTATTTTTTTCATGAATATTGGCTATGGTATTATTTGAAATCAGGATATGACCTCACAAATGATAAAAATTTGGTCATAAATTACCTCTATTTACAAGGTGAATTAAGAATAAAGCAAATGTAAAAATTCAGAGATTGAAATATCATGTAAATATGTGTGTTCTAATAATTTTGAAACAGTACAACTTACAAAGAATTGACAGGAGAAAAGGTGGCATTTGGGGGCTAAAATTAATTAGCTGATTTTCTGATCTGTAGTAGCTTGGATTTCTTTAAAGCGTATCTCAGAATGCATAACCTAAACTTATATGACAATTTTAAGATGGTAGTAGATTGATTTGAAAATGGCTCCAATACTTAACGTCTCTTTGAATCTATGTCCTTTGCAATCTCTCTTTGCATATGTGCCCTTAGTAATGTGACATTACAGATCTAACCATCTAACCAGGGATAGAGATGATTTCTGCATCCTCTTGATTATTGATAATTCTTGCAATTTAATGTGATCAACAGAATGAGGTGAAAACACAGTCGCAAGAAATGCGGGCTTGAGGTTCAGGAGGACTTCCCCTGAGAATCCTGCCACCACATTGTGAACAAGTCAAGGCTACCATGGTAGCGTATGACAGAAGATGGAGACCAATCAACAGCAATCTGGCCCATGATTATGTAAACCAACAGAATCAAGATTAGCAGAGCTAACTATCTGTTTCACTGTTGATTGCAGAGGCATGAGAAAACACATCCTAGAGGATAACTAATACCCAACTGATACAAACATAGATGAATCACTTTTGAGTCACTTTGTTTCAGTGTCATTTGCTAAGCAGTAATATTGACCTTAAATAAAGAAAGGGTAAGACTAAACATAACTTTTCTATTTGATGACTTAATTTTAATTATTAAAAAATATTTTCACCATATATCTCACAAACAACACCTGACTCTACGGTATATAACAAAGACACCTAAAAAAATAAGAATTTTTAAAACTTGAGAAATATAGGTGAGCTTGACTAGTAAGTATTAAAAAAGTTAAAATAAAAATAATAATCTGGTTTTGATCAAATATATGTACAAAATAATGTAATATTGAATAAAATATATCAAAAACTTGAAAAATAGAGAAAAATACAATGATCCCCTCACCTAAATCCAAAAATGAGACACATTCTGAAGTATTATTTACACACCACTTTAAATTAATTTGTAGATATCCTGACATTCATCCATGACTAAACGAGAATGTTTTAAATAACAGTATACTTGCTTATATTGCAACAATAATATTATTCATAACAAAATTAACAAATTATCAAATATTGCCTTGTATCTTATTCATATTCAACATTTTTCAAAACATCTTACGTAAGTGTTTTTAATTTTATTTTATTTTGTGTTTTGTTACAGGATATTGTCAAGCAACAATGATTTGTCCAACTTTTGTACCTCTTTAGTCTCTGAATCTACAATAATTCCCTCCCAAACAAACACACTTTTTTCCTTTCATTCTTTCCTACTTCCTCCCTTCTCTCTGCATTTCTATCCTGCTCTCTGTCTTTCTCTTTCTCCCTCTCTCTCTGCATAATGTAGTTTGCAATTTAAGAAGCCATTGTCTTCTACAATATCTTTTGTTCTGGAAGAAAAATCCCTCAACTGTTTTCGATAAGGGTGATCCAAAAAAGACAAAAATGTATCCTGCTTTACACTAAAATGCTCAAGGTAAATTAATTATAAATATTGATACTTAAACTAATTAATGCCTGGTAGAAATAAGTG